>NC_000002.12:20691573-20843088 GCF_000001405.40 Homo sapiens
ATTGTTAACAAAGAATCGCAGGCAATCAGCAGGATGTTTACATTCAAAGGTTTAGAAGAAAATAAATTATTTCCTGTAGTTTATTTATCCTTAGCACTTGTTTTGGAACTCATGAGAGTTGATAAAAAGTATACATTATTGAGATAGAAATTTTTCTGTTTCCAAATTGTCATGTTAAGTAACCCATTGTTTTCTATTAAGCACAAAATTTAACTTTTTTTCAGTCTAGATTTTGATTCTCCAGAACCATGCTTTGGCTTTTCCTCCTGTGTTTTCTGCAGGAAAGTGGATTTATGGTTACTATGGTCTCTGGGCTTATAGATGAACTTCCCTTTAACTGTTTAATGTGCACCTAAGGGGACAGGGCCCTCCTAAAATATCCCTGCAGGTTGCTGCAGCTTGTCCCCACATCTGTCTTTTCTTCTGTGTGTTTTTTTTTCCCCACTTTTTGGGGGGTCTACAAACAGCACTGTTGGACAGTGAATTGCTGAAGCTGATAGATTAAAATGAGTTCCACCAAAAATGACTCTGATTCCATCCCATATCTGGTACTAGGCTAAGTGGCTGACATTCAGAAGTGTGTAAGATGGTCTCTGCCCTGGAACAGCTCACAGACTAGGCGAGAGAACAGACCTATATAAACTGGCTCTTAAATACAACAGGCAGACAGAGGTATGGACAAAGCCCTACGGGACCCCAAAGCAGGAAAACCCAAATTCTGCCCTGAGGGAGTGAACATGAACAAAGCTTTGTTTTAGTATACATTTGGAGTTGCATGCTTTTATGCATTACTAATAGAGGATTTATAGTAAGAACAAAGAAATATTAGAAGCATCTTATGATTTAGCTAATAACAAAACTCACTTTCAATGACATAGCAACATCTTAAAATAATAACAATTTTAAAAGCCACACATAAAAATCTCTATCTGAATTATCTGTCTATTCAATAGGACAGTAGGACTACAGGCATTACAGGAATAAAAGGGCTAATAAAATGAAAGTTTTGCATCTCTATATATTTTTGCATATATATATTTGTTGTTGGTGTTAACCTTATGGATAAACTGAATTTTAGAAGCTCTTTAAATCATAATTCACCACGAAGTCAAGTTTGGTACAAACGATATCTCATCAATACAACTTGAAATGTTTCCAACGAGAAATCCAGCTTGATGAGCCTTTGGCACAGACTACTTTGGGTAGTCAATTTGTGGGGTGCCTGTTTTGTGATATAGTGCAGGCCTGAGCAGGGTGGTAAACGGCATTTCTGGGGGTGTCATGCTGAGAGTGAAAGGGCTTCTCATAATGTCTTTATATCACAGTGTGGTAAAATAATTGTATTTATATTATTCTAAAGTAATTTGTGAAACTACTCAAGCTCCTTATGCAGCCAAGAAGAGCGTAGTGCAGTGAGTACAGTGTTAAGACTGTACAGGTCCCTGAGCCATATCCACCTGGACTGGAATCTTGGTTCTGCCATTTATTGGTGCTGTGAGCCTGGACCAGTTACTTAGCTTCCCTGTGCCTGTTTACTCATCTGTAAAGTAAGACAGAACTAGTTACCTGTGGGCTAGTGCTGAGGACTGGAAAACAAAGTGTATCAAGTGCTTTCCACATGGTGGGCACTCTTAAAGGCTGCTGCTTTACAGGTGAGGACAAAGGGAGCTCCTCGACACAGACTGGGCAATGGTGGGCTGGGTGGGTGGGAGCTGTGCCCTGCTCAAGGAAAAAGAATCCACATGACCTTACATTAGCCTTTGAGAAAATATATTCTATTCTGATAAGTTGTTTTTGACATAGGCTCAGAAAATGTATAAGTATTAAACATTTTTTAAAATATAAAACAAAGTTGTTTTACCATATACTTACTCATTATCTAAAAAATGTACATGTCATATTCCCCAGACATGACTGTAGAGAAAGACAGGTGGGGTAGAAGATAAGTCGCCAACCAAATAAACAGTGAAGCACATCCCTATCCTCAAGCCGCCACTAACAGTCAGCTCTTGGTGTGGATTCTATACTTCCACTTTTATAATAAAACCTACTTTTCCTCATAAAGGAGACCTGGAGCCTAAGCTATAGTGCCCTTTGGCTATCCTTGGTTGAGCATCTTCCAAATGAAGAAAGGCACCGACATTCTGGGAGTTACTTTTCTTCCTGGTGAGCTCACAGGGTGAGCCTGTGGGTTCTTGCAGCAGTGAAGGTAATGCCCACCGCTTTTCTGAGCAATGCAAGGCTTTCTGTTAGCACTTCATCAACAGCTGTAGCTCCCTGGCAGCTTACGCTGCATGGCAGGGCAACCAGGAAGCCAGCACTAGAGACAGTGACCAAAGAGGAGTGACACAGATTCTGAGAGAGATCTATCTTCTTGGCCTTTCTTCCAGAGGTCTAAGAAAAATATGTCATTCCTGCTTTCTCCAGGTTTTCTTTCCTTCTTTGAAATAATTTGCACTAGAGCAGGTTTTTTGCTTGTTTCATTGTTTGTGAAAAAAGCAAAAGGTCAGATATAAAGCAGTCGGTTGAATACCAAGGGATCAAATTAGTACCTACACATACAGGCCCCCTACTTCCCAGCTAGGGCCCCTACCCTGCCTTTATCTCCTGTTTTCATCCCCTTGAAGCTTTCCCGGGCTCGGGATATAAACTGTTAGGTCCTCCAATGCATGCCCATTTCTGGGGAGAGTCCAGACAGTCTGGATGACAGCAGCAGGCTTCCACTTCTCCCCTCCCCTCAGAGTCAAAGACATGTAAGCCCCAATCTTGCAATGTTAAAGGAAACCGATTCTGTGATATAAGCATCTCCTTTCAGTTACTTAAAAAATCTTATCCCTGTTGGGGACACAGGCAGCTGCAAAGTGTCAACATTTCACTGCAGTCTTTCTGAGCCTCTGTTTTTAGGGACTTGCAGAATTGCTAAAGAAAGGGAGATGGTTTAGGGACTTCAGTTTTTCCAGTTACCTTGTTTCCTCTCTTCCGTTTATTCCTAACTGGCTCAATTACCATTCTTGAGAAAATGAGAACTGAAATCTCCAAAGATTTTTAAAAAGTGGCTGAGGATGGAGGTGAAAACACAAATGCTTCCCGCCCGTGAACCCTGCTTCTCTCTGCAGGCACAGAGGGGAGCGGTGGGAATGGGAGCGCCAAAGGAGGAGTAGGTCCTATGGGGCACTGTGTGGCTCACTCTCCAGTAGCTGGAACAACCATCTGTGTATACAGCGGTGTGCAGAGCAGCACTCTCCTTTCCGTGTGGCTAACATGTAAAGGGCCAGGATCCTCTCCCTCCCACATACAAGCCACGAGGCCATCAAGTGACTGGCTTGTCTCTTTCTCACGTGAGACTGCACTGAGATGCTAACCCAGGGCCTCTGCTTTCCTCTGGCGAGGCCCTCTGGCAAAGTAAGAGGCCCTGAGCGCCAGTCTCCTTCTGTGTTTCTGTCCTTCCCTGGATCTGTGCCCCAAGAAGGGGGCAAATGTACTGGAATGGTTTTACTCAACTAACTGAGAGAAGGGCTAAGTCCAGTTCATCAGACTTCTCTGGACTAGAATAATGGGCCCAAGCCTTGGTAAAAATCAAGTACTATTGTGTTTTCCCCTCATTATGGTTCCTATACAACAGCTCCTTGAGGCATCTTATGGGGAGTGGTGGCTGTTGTTTAGAATGGCATTGGGCATTCCGGGGTCTCTTGGCCACATACTCAGCATCACTAATACCTTTCATTAACACAATGAAAGTATCTGAAAAGGGGATGTGAGAAGAGGAACAGTTAGGCAAATAGTCTTTTTAAAGTGCTTAGAAGCATAACTAGGCTATAACTAACTTTGTAATAGTAATAAAAACATTTATTGAATGCTTAGTGCATTCCAGACACTCTTTCTTTTTTTTTTTTTTTTGAGACGGAGTCTCGCTCTGTTGCCCAGGCTGGAGTGCAGTAGCATGATCTTGGCTCACTGCAACCTCCCCCTCCTGGGTTCAAGCAATTCTGCCTCAGCCTCCCGAGTAGCTGGGACTATAGGCATGCACCACCATGCCCGGCTAATATTTGTATTTTTAGTGGAGACGGGGTTTCACCATGTTGGCCAGGCTGGTCTCGAACTCCTGACCTCATGATCCACCCGCCTCGGCCTCCCAAAGTGCTGGGATTACAGGCATGAGCCACCGTGCCCGGCGGAGATACTCTTATAAGGTCTGAATTACAAGGTATGAATTATAGCATATTTTTGGAATAGCTGTATGAGGCTACATACTATTATTAACCATTTTATTGATGAATAAAGGAGGCACAGTGAGGTCCGGTAACTTAAGCAGGGTCATGAACAAGGGTGGATTTGGTGTTTGAAGCTTGGCTGAGACTCTGGGAGCCCAGCTCTCCAGCACGTTTGCCTCCCCTCAGTCACCAGGCTCCACTGCAGAACCCCAGAGTGTGCTCACACAATTGCCCAAATAAAGCTTTCAAGGTCACAATATTGAGATAAAAACAAACCTATCTATTTTCAGGATGATTATGACATTCTGGACAGGCTTTAAATTAAACAGGCAGAACTAACACAATCCGTTTCAGAATACCGAGGCTTGGCGGAAAGGCAGGCCTGGTGAGCTGGTCCAGGGAGCATTTCCTATGCTGCAGCAGGCAGGACATGTGCATGTCAGAAGGATTTGCATGCCCCAATCTGCAAACAACTGCACAAGGTTTGCTCCCAAAGGCAACACACACCTTTGGGCTAAGGCAGGCTAAGAGGGATGGGGAGAGAGCAATAGCAGAGGAGTTCCTGTTCTTGAGGACACTTGCCCCTTTCCCAAGCCACACTGTAGCCCTGGCCTGGCCCTCTGGGGGCAGGGGCAGCACCACCTTACAGGCAGCCCCCCTACCACTGCCTAACTTCATCTGAAAGCTGCACTTCATGTGTTCTCTTTGGAGCAATTTCAGATTCCTACTTACTGATAGTGATGCTCAGATTCAGTCTGGCAGTAGCACACACCAGCTGTTTCCGTAAGCCTGGGCCAAACGTGGTCATGGCAGTTTAGAATTCCCCCCCTAAGTGGGTTTGAAATGAAAACTTCAAGTTTATAAACCAAACATGAGTTCACTTTTCAATGAATGAGACATGCATCCCTTATGGCTTAGAACAGTGACAGAACAAGGGAGTGCTGACCTCTTATTTGCCTCTGACACACCAGGTGCCTCATGAAACAGAGAATACTCCAGAGGTTTCCAGACAAACTGGGATTGGGGTGGCGAAAACGCACAGTTGATTCTCTTCCCTTGGTTTATTTCATCCTGGTTCTCCTTCCCACCCTTCTTACCTCCCCTCCCATCTTATTCATTCAGTGGCTCCTCGTCTTCCTCCCAACCCTTAAGCTGGGTTCCCTAATGATCAATCATTAGAAGTCTTCTCTCCTTATTCTGTATACTTCTTTAGGCTGCTATTACCCATGCTCTTGGCTTTAACTACAGCCTCATCACTCCCCAACCAAAAGTCAGCCTCAAATATCTTTCTAAGCTTTACACCCATACATCCAGGGCCTGCCAGACACGGATCCACTTGCATGTCCCACTGGCATCTCAAATACAAGTACCAAAATGAACCACTTGTTCAGCCATCTCCCATAACTTGCTGCTGCTTCTCTTCCCATATTCCCTGTCTTATTACCAAGTCCAGATACAAAGAAATAATCTTAGATTCCTCCATCTCCATTCCCCAATATCCTGTTAGTACTCAGTACCTTTGATTCTATCTCCTAAATCTTTCCATCTTCAATCCCAATGCCTTAGTTCTTATAAAAGCTTTGTAAACAGGCTCCCCAACTCATATTTCATCCTTTTCTAGTATTATACCACACATTTGCCCTCAAGATAATCCCTCTCATTTGTTAATCTCACCAAATTCCTAGGGCTAACTGATATGAACTGGTGCCCCTGAACTGGCTGTTCATAGCTGGCATACATTCTGATTGGTCAATCCCTATATCACATGGTTGTCAAATGTTTTGACTGTCACCCTGTTACTCCCATGCTTAGACCCTTCAATAGCTCCCCAAAACAGTCTCTTCAGTGTGGCATATCATGACTTTTTGTTCTCAGGCCAGTGCCTAAGCCACAACATCATGCTACCTAACCTTTTCTAGTTTCTCTAACGCAGGGCTTCTTTGCTTGCGGTGTACAGGTCCAGAGGTTTGGAGAAGGGGTTATGTAAACTTTGGAAAAATTTACATGTTTACTTTTGTTAATCTCTAACCAAAATTTAGTATTTCTTTCAATTAGGAATACAGGCAACAAGCTACAATATTAGTAATGCCTATATTTTGTCATCTATAAAAATGATAAGTATTTTTAAATCACACTAACTTGCTCAAGGTAACTAAAACATTATACTTATCATTACAAATTAAAAAAAAATTCTGACTGCTATTATATCTCATTATCCAACAACTTCTTTCTTTTGTAATCTTGTGTATTTTATGCACTTAACATCATTGTGAGTAGAATCCAAAAGCTTTATGAGAGAGCGAAAGAGATGCATGGCACAAAAAAGGTTTAGAATCCACACTCTAGTTAATGGCGTCCCCATCTATCCATCTGTCTAGCACATATTTACTGACTGTTTACCAGGTATGAATTATGCTAGGCCCTAGGGGACATCAAGACGAAGAAGACACAGCTCCTTACCTCAACGTGGGGAAAGGTGAAGGTTGATTGTTTAAATACTGTGTGATAAATGCAATATAACTTTACATAGGGAGTAACATCTAACCAAAACCAAGGACTGGGAAGGCCTCTTGGGGATGACACTAGACAAGCAGGATTTAGTCAAATGACAAAATAACCTATAGGCCGGGCGCAGTGGCTCATGCCTGTAATCCCAGCACCTTGGGAGGCCGAGGCCGGTAAATCACAAGGTCAGGAGTTTGAGACCAGCCTGACCAACATGGTGAAACCCTGTCTCTAGTAAAAATTAGCTGGGTATGGTGGCGGGTACCTGTAATCCCAGCTACTCGGGAGGCTGAGGCAAGAAAATCGCTTGAACCCGGGAAGTGGAGGTTGCAGTGAGCCGAGATCGTGCCACTGCACTCTAGCCTGGGCGACAGTGCAAGACTCTGTCTCAAAAAAACAAAAAAAGGAAAAAGAAATAACCTATGATGCCATAAACCATGGTATACTCCTTTGGAAACAACCATGAGTCTGTTATATTTGCTCCAGGAAAGAAAAATTATTTTAATAAAATAAATTACTTTATGTCCAATACTGTGTATAAAGTCACTGGACCTCAGAAGGAGGATAATCAGCTCAACAGATCTTTTAGAGCTAAAAATGCCCATTTTCCTCAAGCATATAAAAAGCTCTCTTCTTGTGTCAAATGGAAATCCAGTGGTAGAAAATTTGGATTTAGAACCAAAGCCTGTAGATTATGGTATGATAGTTCTCTTGGGGAGGAGAAAGAAGTAGAATGCTGTCTGCATGATACAGTAGAAAGCTTATTTTTAGACTAACTTTCCTGTGGCATTCTGGCTGGATGGCACAAAGATATATTTTTCAGAACTATTTTTAGTTGAATAGCTGAGATACAGGAAATGATTTTTCAACAAAATGTGTGGCTTGATGACTATTCACACTGGACAGTCCTGGATAGTTCTGAAGTTTCTGAACGCCTTTGTTTGGGTGGAAATGGGAAAGAGTATCCTCGATTAAGATACCTAAATAGGAATATTTCTAATCCCGGGCATTGGTTTTAGTTTGACCAGTTATCGGGGGTGTTTGGAAGGCAGGAAGCAATGCCCACTATCTTCCTAGAACTATGTGCACTTTTAAGTTTCCTTATTTTCTCAAGCAGACTGGGACATATGTTGATTCAACTTCTACCAATATTAAATTACAGCATGTTTCCTCTTTTTATTACAGAAACAAAAAGTTGCAATAAACTTCCTGTCTCTCTGTACCTAGTTTCACTTAGGAGCTGTAATTGTATTATTCTAGTGGAGAGCTTGAATTTTGCTGGTAGAAAGGATAATGAATTAACTGCAAGGTAGTTTTGCATGATTAAATGAAACAATGCTTTGTTTCCCCATATTCTAGAAGTATATTTAATGCTATCTCAAAAACAAAACTATTGCCTGGAGTTGAAAAAGTTTATTCCTGTGACTGTGTGTTAATACTAACCTTGAAATGTCTACCATTTACCATTACACCCCCGTATTTCCCCATAAAATTTCAGTAAACTTACAGTCCTGACATAATTACCATGAACAGCCCTCTATCTGGGAATGATTACACTTGCATATGGATTTCACTTGGGACAGGAATAAGTTAGCACCTTTCTTTGACCTTTTTCTGAGCACAACACACAAGCTGAATCCAGAAATGATGAGTATTTTACAGCAGCTGGCTTCCACAGGTGGTAAAGCAGACTCTGACACATGATGGGTCTAGTTGTTCAGCAAGTGTGAATTTTGGAAGTGAGCATCTGCCAGTCTTATTATTAACTGAGAGTTGAGCTGTTTTTATGAACTCCCAACCTGGAAGAACTTAAATGCATTTTTGAAACAGATTCACTTACAGTTTAAATGGAAAATAAAATACTGTTTTTCTTGTATTTTCACATCGCTCAGTGACTGGAAGTAGCTGAAAGCCCTGGAGAGGGGGCCCTCCTGAGGCCCCAGCACTCTCCCTTCGGCTAGTGAGGGCTTCCTTCTGGTTTCCAAATTTCAATCTCTAGCCAACTGCTATTTCAGAAATATGATGACCACTATGGCCATGAGACAAAACAACACTGGCATTTTCAAAAGTCCTCTCTGGGTGAATATTTTCAATATTCTAAAAAAAAAATTTTAAGAACATATACACTTCTCGTTTTAAGATAATTGTACTGGGAGGTTATGGAATTAAGAATTAACAATGTAGAAAAGTTTAAGTCAAATGTATCAAGGTTTATAAAGACATTCTAAGTCCAGTGGGTTATCTCGTATTTCACTTGTGGATTGCTCCTGAGTCCTATGAGAGTTTGCCACTCAGCAGGGATCATTTCAGCAGGTATCATAGTTCAGCACCAATTGTAAAGTTTAAGACTAATGCTGTCCAACAGAAGCATAAAGCAAGGTACATATGCAATTTTAGAATTTCCTAGTTACAATGTTTAAAAAATTATAAAGGAATGGGTGAAATTACTTTTAATAATATGTTTTACTTAATCCACTATATCTAAGGTAGTATTTCAACAGGTAATCAATATAAAAATTAATGAAATACTTTGCTTCTGGGGGAACTAAACTTTTGAAATCCAATGTGTGTTTTACACTTATGGCACAACTCAATTAAGGCTAGCCACAAATAACCACATGTGGCTAGTGGCTATAATATTAGTACAGTTCTGTCCTACTCAGAACGGACAGCCAGACAAATGATGCCACAGGAGTACCACAGTCATCCAAATTCTAGGGTGACCTTAGACATATACTAAACCCTACTCTTATAGTTTCAGAGATTGGTGCTTCCAGATGTGTGTGTGCAAGATTCTAGTATTTGCAGCATAACTCCCAAATGTTGAATATTTCACAAAACTGGTCTTAGGGTCAGAGCAGGACATTCCTACTCTAACACATTAGAGAATAAGAAAGGCTCACTAGTCATGAGATCATATAACATATAATGTATTTTCCACTGTTTCATTTATATTCCAACATTATTTATTCTATAAATATTATGGAGTTTTCTCAGTAGAAGGCCTAGAGAGGCTAAAATGCATTGACAAAATAGAAAAGTATTGATTCTAAAATTAATTCAACAAAAACAGGTGATAAAAAAATAAGTTATTATGCAATTAGCTTTACTACTCTCTACACAACTTTCAGGGATAATTTCAATTTTAACTGGAAGTAGAACTCTATGTCATTCTACCAACCCTTAAAGTCTTACAGATTCTAACTAGTTCTAGTCCTTTGCCCTCGTATCTCTGCCCATCTACTTATTATCTATCCCCTTGCAGCACTAAAGTGATTACCTTACATAAATGCTCCTTTATGGTTTCGTCATCTCTCTTCACCACCTCCATCATTTCTTGGCCCCCAAGGTAGGCAGCATTAGCTACATTTAAAAAATAAAAAGTCAAACATTTAGAATATATAGAACAAACACAAATTTCAAATTAATTTTAGTAAATTCATGTTCCTCCTTTCTTTTGGCACGTGCTATCTGATGAGAGATACTGGTGAGGCCAACAGAGGAATGTGAGTCAGGCAACATGCACACAGTCTCTGGAAACAAGAGCATTTCATTTAAAAGAACCTTCTTCCAACCTCATCTGGCTTCTCCATAGCAAAAGTTTAACAGTGCCACAGCCCAATGTCAGATACCACAGCAGATGATGTGTGCAATTTTACCAGACCAATATGTGCTATTTCGATTTAAGGCTTAGAAGTACAAATTGTTACCAATAAATCATGTATACCAAGAAAATGCAAACAGTTACTAACATGAAAATATACTGGCTTTTTTTTTTTTAAAGGAAACAACTAAAAGGATTATTTATCTTTAAAAATACGTTTAAAGTTCTCCAGGAGTTTTCAATAGGGTTAGTCCCATTACACTGGCTGCAAAATAAGCAAAGTGATGCTCACTTTCAAGATGTCAAATACCTAGGAAAGAGGAAGAACGCCAGAGATAACATGAGTTTATGTGGCTTTCTTGTACTGGTAAGAAAATTTTCATTCAATGCTTTGTACCCTGAATTCCATTTTGGCTGGTATTATTATTCTTATCTTGCTTTCTTTTTTGCCAGCATCTGTCCTTCCCTTCATTTTCAATCTTTTGTCATTTTGTTTCAAGTATGTCTCTTGAAATCATGTAAGTGGACTTCTTTAAAAATGCAGTTTGAAAGTCTCTGTTTCTTAAATAGAAGGACTAAACATATTCACATATATTGAGATCAAAGCTATTTGGTCTGACGCCAGTCATCTTGCTTTATATACCCTACGCTTTCTTGTTATTTCTGCCTCTTATCTTTAGTGTGAATGATGAATTTTCCTCCCCACCCAGGATTTAACAAATTTCTTTTCATTAACAATCTGAAAGTATAAATTCCATTTTTATTTATCTAGTGGTTAGCCTTACCTAAAAACTGCAAACTTACTTTTTATTTTCTCTTGCTGTCTGGAATTACTCATCTAAACAAGGCATGACCTTAGCATACTTGCACTTTCCCCATGCCTTCCTCCCATCCTGCCTCCATCCCTGTTGCTTCAACCATCTGGAATTTTAGTTCCAGATTATTATTATTTTTTGAGATGGAGTTTCGCTCTTTGTTGCCCGGGCTGGAGGGCAATGGCACGATCGTGGCTCACGGCCACCTCCCAGGTTCAAGCAATTCTCCTGCCTCAGCCTCCAGAGTAGCTGGGATTACAGGCATGCGCCACCACACTCCGCTAATTTTGTATTTTTAGTAGAGACAGGGTTTCACCATGTTGGTCAGGCTGGTCTTGAACTCCTGACCTCAGAAGATCCGCCTGCCTTGGCCTCTCAAAGTGCTGGGATTACAGGCATGAGCCACCGCACCCAGCTCCCAGATTATTAATTTTTACATTTTGCCTCTGCTTTCCTTGTTTAAAGTTTTATCAAGGTAACACACATACACATATATAGTTTCATATCAAATATCACAGAAATGGTTGTAGTGCCAAACCATAGTTTTCTTTTCCATCATTTCCCATTTCTAGACCCGTTTCCTAGAGGAAGCCTCTCTGAACTCTTTTAGCTGTCCTTCCACCAGTTATCTTCAAACCTCTAAACACTTACGATCATCTTGTCATTTCTTGATAACTTATTGATTACCCTTGCTGAGTTGCTATGAAAGATGAGGATTTAGCTCCCTTTTACAGCCCTACCATTCCTTCCTGCCATCTTCTCAACATGTTTATATCTTATTTTGAATTATTCTATTCTTACTTAAATAATATACTTACACCTTTACTTCTGAATATTGTTCACTGCTGAGCCAAGTGGTATCTAGAACCACACTTCCACTCTTACACTTCCATTCTCTGTCCTCCAACATTTGTTTTCGTTACAGTTACCTTTTTTTCCCTCTTAACTCTACTCAATATTTTTCTGAGTCAATTCTTCCTGGAGACCTCCTTTCCAGGACCCTGAGACCTTCTGCTCTAACCTGGACCACTGTCGACTTAGAATTTCCCTTCACTGCCTTCTTGGGTTGTTCCTATTGTTTTCTAAGTCCCAGTTAATTAACTCATTCATTTGTTTATTCATTCAAAGATGACTGAGCACCTACTTACTTTATGCCAGGCCTTATTTTAGGCGCTGGAGATGGAGCAACAAACAAGACAGAAACACTATTCTTGAGCTTATATTTTAGTGTTGGGATGATAGATGGTGAGAAAGTGCTATGGAGAAAAATAAAATCAGCTTAGGAGATAAGTCTGTGCAGTGACAGAGGTGGCCTATTTTATGTAAAATTCACTGAAAAGACCTCCCTGATAAGGGGATGTGTGAACAGAGAAGAACTTGAATGAAATGAGAAAATGGACCATGCAGATACTTGGGTTAGCAGCACTCTAGACAGAGAATAGGGTAGGAGATGCTCCCTTAAATATAGCCATGATATAATCCTAAAAAGTAGCACTTTAATCATTCTTGTCTGTCTGTGATATTAGCATGAGTACATATAGGAGTAAATATTCTGCATTTTCTTGGCCTAATCTCCTAAATCAGAACAGGATATTTAGTCGCAGTTATATACTAAGAAGCTGGACTATAAGACTCTAAGTCCCGGTTCCAAAATCAGAACTGTCTTTGTTTTACTATATTTCAGGGAATTTATAAGGACCAACTAAATTAAAGCAACAGAGATTTGATTAATACATTATGGTCTATTCACTAAATTAATTATTCTATAACCTATTAAAAATTATCCTGCAGAATATATAATGTCAAATACATATTTAAAAATAATAGTAACTGACAAAAAACAAACCATGAAATAGTACAGTATGATCCCACTATTGTAAAGATACATTATGTGTATGGTACAGATTTATTTGAAAAGATAAACAATAAAATAATAACACGTTATCTCTGGTTGATGGAATCCCAGGTGATCTGCCTGTCCTTTCTTCTCCTCTCACTTCCCTGCCTCCCTTTCAAATAGGTTATAGTTTCTTTCTTTGTACATCATTTTGTCTTTCCTAGAATTATTTGTTGCCTTTACTTGATTTTCTTTTCTCATGAGTAGACAATGAAAATTCTTTCTTCAAAAATGCATCAGATTTTATTCCCAAATGTACAAACACATCCAATAATTCATTTATTCTGTCCCTCCCCCCACAGAGCCTTCCATTCTTTTGATCCAATCTTGGACGGGTTGCTCTCCAGGCCTGCTGCATAGCTGTCATCCTTGGACTTCCCTTTGCCACTTCTCTGGACTGGATTCCCTGTTTTATGGATTCTGTTCATGACTTTCTCATTCTTGGTTTATTCCCTTACTTTACTGAAGCACATTTTCCAGTAACTAATAAAAAGATACACAGGAATTTTTATAGATGTTTACATGTCTAATTTTTGTTTCTTTTCCCACATGAATCACATAGTTTGGCTGTATATAGAATTTTAAGCTGAAAGGGGCTTACCCTCAAGTTTATTATCTTCCAGCATCCAAGGTTTATGATTTCAATTTTAGTTTCTTGGAATGTGACTACTTCCCTTTGTCCTGCCCCTATCCCATCTCCTTATCCTCAAACTCAGCTGTCTTAGCTCTAGAATCCTGAAGTTTCATAGGAATATGCCCTAATACAAGTCTTCTATTCCTTAATTAGACTGGAAATCCAGTGGGCCCATTCACTGTTTGGACTTACCAACTTTCTTTCTGGAAAATTTTCTTTTATTATTTCTTTGGTAATTTCTTCCCCTGTTTTCTCCATCCCCTCTTTCTGGAACTCCTACTAGTAGGGTATTGGCTCTCTTAGACTAATCCTCTGTCATTTTTCTTCTATAGCCTTTCTCTTTTTCAATTTGTATTATTTTCTAAGAGACTAGTTAGAATACTATTATATTGTCTAGTGGGGGAGAGAATGAGACTTAAAGTGCTTATAGTATGAAAAAGAATAAATGATCAAAGACATAATTTTTCCTACTATAAACATGTGCTCTGTATATAAAATGCAGAAATTATATGAGTAGAAGAAATGATTAGCAAGAACTTAGTGAAAAATAATCAATATTACTATTTTGATGACTTCATTTAAATCTTTAAAATTTTATTGTTAAGTCTTAGTTTTCACATAGTTATACCGCATATGAAATTTAAAATTTTGCCTCTGAGCACATTCTAGAGTAGTGCTATGCAATATAACTTTCTGTGATGGTGGAAATGTTCCCTGTGCTATCCAACCAATACAAAGGCCCTTGGCTAGATGTGCCTCTTGAACACCTGAAATGTGGCCAGGGCAATAAGGAACTGAAATTTCAATTTTATTTAATTCATTTACATTTAAATAGCCACATATGGCTAATGTCTACCTTACTGAGCAGTGAAGTTCTTTCTAGAGCTACAAATAAGGCCGACCTTACAGAGCTAAGAAATGGATTAGATATTAGGAGAAGGTGAAGGAATGAAAAATGAATATTAGTGGGGGCTTAGGAGAAAAAAAAGTTTGGGGAACACCATGAGGAAAAGACAGATTTTATTGAAAGAGAAATTCTCATTTTCTTTATAACTCCCATTAGCCTTCTCTACAAAATCTGATCCCAACCTATGTTGAAGCTTGGCTTCATTTAAAGACTCATGCTTTCCAGTGAATGTGAGCTACTTATCCTCTAAACACATAAAATTTGCATCCTCAGCCATTTTGTTCATGGCATTCTGTCTACTTGAAGTCTTCCCACCCATCCTTTGTCTTGGCTTAGATGCTCTGTCTTTTCGCTACCTTGCTCTAACACTCCAATCTGTTAATAAAGACTGCTGAATTATCGATATAGAAGCCAAACCTGTTTAAACTGTTATTGGTTCCCAAAAATCTCAACTGAATTTTAATTTCAAATGGAAATGATTTTCCATAGTTCTACTTCTGAACAAGATGGAGTAAGAGGGACTGGATTTACCCTCCTACCTAAAATCCTGAAACAACTAAAAAAAAAAAAAAAGATAAAATACATGAAGAAAAAAGTTTTCAAGACACTGGATATTGGGCAACAAAAAGACAGCAATCCCTGAGAAAAGAGAAACGAATGAGAGGAGTCTTATGATTGTCTCAGCTTATCATTTGAAAAGTTTTCAGGCTACAGTGCAAGAAGGAGAAGTACAAGCAGAGCTTGGTAATCTCCCTCAGTTGATAAGTGCATTAATTGTTTTTTATTGTCTTCATTTTATGATGCTTTGACATCTTGGAGGCCTTGCTTGTCGGGGAGAGGCTGCCCCTCCCATGACTAGCTAAATTCTTAGAGATAGCAAATGATTCCACGGTGAACATTTCTTTCATATTGAGCAAACAACCAATCCAAAGGCCATACCCACCAACCACCTCCCTTAGAAAACTCTCACACAACAAGCCAAATACTCTAAATCACTCTAAATCCTGCTGGGAATTATTTCAGGGCTGGACACAAGACATCTAGGAACTACTCCTATAGCTCAAAGCCCACCAAAATTTTTCATACCAGCCAATCCTAACTAAACCTGCTCAGCTGCCTAAACTGCCTCATCCCTTCCTTCCCATGGGGACCACAATGAAGGCTCTGGGCCATGCTCTCCTGTGCTCCTTCTGCCTCCTTCCCCAACTGGGTGCTTCCCCATGAGGCCCTGCCTAGTGTGCAATGCCCCCTCCTTTCAAGAATTCTAAGTAGCTCTTCTTTCAAAGGCAGTTGTCTCCATGCTTGCCATGTTAACACACCTGATTAAAACAATGCATTTGTAATCAAGGAGATAGAGGTGATAGTTTGGGGAGGCTACCGCAGTGGTTTTTGGTAGGGCAGAGTTGTAGAAGGAGAAAGCTGTAGTGAGTGAGAGAACGCTCCAGAGATCTGCAGAGGGGACCCCCTGAATTTCAGCTAGGTGCAGATCAGCACAATTGTATGAGAAATTTTGAGAAGCTGGGTGAAGGAATCATCTGAAAGAATTAGAGGGAATAATCCCTGAATTGAGAATAGTCACTGTTTCTACCAGTCCACCAGAGAACGTCACAACCAACAATGCATCCACTAGAGCAGCACCAGTACTGTGTCACACGGCAGGAGGTGAGCAGCAGGCAAGCAAGTGAAGCTTTATCTGTATTTACAGGCATTCCCCATTGCTTGCATTACTGCCTAAGCTCCACCGCCTGTCAGATCACTGGCAGCATTAGATTCTCAGAGGAGTGCAAACCATATTGTGAACTGAGCATGCAAGGGATCTAGGTTGCGTGCTCCTTATGATAATCTAATGCCTGATCATCTGTCACTGTCCCCCATCACCCTCAGATGGGATTGTCTAGCTGCAGGAAAAGAAGCTCAGGGCTCCCTCCCACTTTTCTACATTATGGTGAGTTGTATAATTATTTCATTATATATTAACATTTAATAATAATGGAAATAAAGTACACAATAAATGTAATGTGCTTGAATCATCCCCAAACCATTCCCCCAGCCTGGTCCAGGGAAAAAGTGTCTTCCACAAAACCGGTCCCTGGTTCCAAAAAGGTTGGGGACTGGTAACTAGAGAACTCAGAGAGGTTTTTGCCTTGGTGGTGGAGTAAAATTAGCCCTAAACCAAATGCCATTCTGGTACCAACTAACAGCCTAGAAGCAAGACCAGAAAGTATCAAACCGTCTCCAAATAACAAAACTGTGTCCCATAACACAGCTCAATAATATTTATAGAAGTACAAAAATATCCAGCATCTGACAAGGTAAAATTCAGAATGTAAGCTATCCAATAAAAAATTATCATGCATGCAATGCAAGAAAATACAACCCAAATGAGGAGAAAAACTGATCAGTCAAAACTGATGCAGAAATGACAAAGATAATAAAATTAATAAACATTCAACAACTGGAACTTGGACAAGTGGATATACATGTGCAAAAGAAGGAAGCTGGATCACTACCTCACATGACATAGGAAATAAATTCAGAATGGATCATAGCCCTAAATGTAACAACTAAAACTATAAAACTCTCAGTAGGAAAGAGAAATACATCTTTGTGACCTTAGATTACAGAATGGTTTGTAACTATGACATCAAAAGCACAAGTGACAAAAATAAATAAATAAATTGGACTTCATCAAAACTAACACTTTTATGCTTTAAAGGACACCATCAAGAAAGTAAAAAGACAATCTAAAGAATGGGAAAAGATCATATGTCTGATAAAGATCTCTAGCCATAATATATAAAGAACTCTTACAAATCAATAATAAAGACAATCTGATTGAAAATGGGCAAAGGATTGCAACAGACATTTCTAAATATCTTCTTAAGAAGATGTACAGGTTGAGTATCCCTAATGTAAAAACATAAAATCTGAAATCTTCCAAAATTCAGCTTTTTGAGTGCCAACATGATGCTACAAGTGGAAAATTTCACACATGACTATATGTAATGGGTTGCAGTCAAAACTTTCTTCATGCACAAAATTAAAAATATTGTGCAGTTACCTTCAGGCTATGTGTATGAGGTGTATATAAAATATAAGTAAATTTTGTGTTTAGACTTGGGTCCCATTCCCAAAATATCTCATTATGTATATGCAAATATTTCCAAATCCAAAAAAAATCCCATATCCTAAACACTTCTCATCTCAAGCATTTCAGATAAGGGATATTCAATCTGTACAAATGGCCAATAAGCATGTGAAAAGATGTTCAACATCATTAGTCATCAAGGAAATATAATCAAAACCACAATGAGATACTACTTCACTAGGATGGCTATAATAAAAAAAGACAAACAATAACCAGTGTTGACAAGATGTGGAGAAACTGTAACCCTCATGTCTTGTTGTTAGAATTATAAACTGGTACAGGAACTTTGGAAAACTGTTTGGCAGTTCCCTAAAATATTAAATACAGAGTTACCATATTACCCAGCAATTCCACCTATAGACAAGAGAATTAGAAACATAAGTCCACAAAAAACTTGTACATGAGTGTTTACAGCAATATTATTCATAATAGTCAAAGAGTGCAAACAATCTGAATGTCCACCAATTGATGAATGGAAAGACAAAACATGGTAAAGTCATGCAACGAAATATTATTCATCAATAAAAAGTAATGAAGCACTGGCACATGCTAAACCATGAAAAAACCCTGAAAACATTATGCTAAGTGAAAGAAGCAAGTCACACTCCAAGATATCAGACTTTGTGGGACAGGGCCAAAGCAGTAGTTAGAGAGAAATTTATAACGCTAAAAACTTACATTACAAAATCAATTATTTCAGTTTCCATTGCAAGAAACTAGAAAGAGAAGAGCAGTTAACTCTGAAGTAGGCAGGAAATAAAGTTCACACCAGAAATTAATGCAATTAATTAATGAAATTGAAGCCAATAAAATAATCAAGAAAATAAATGGAACTAAAAGCTGGTTCTTCAATAAAACAATCAAATTGATAAGTGTTTAGCCAGATTGATCAGGGAAAAAAATGTGAGAAGACAAAAGATATTAAGATATTACAAATATCAGGAAAGAGAGAGGTGACATCTCTGCAGATTCCAGATATCAAAAGGATAATCACATAATTTTGTGAAAAACTTTATGTCATGAATGTAGACACCTTGGACAAAATGGACAAAGTCTGCACAAAGACAAAAATGTTAAGCTTACTCAAAAAGAAACAGATACCCTGAATAGTCTTACATATATTAAAGAAATGGAATTTGTAATTTAAAATCTCTTCACAAAGAAAACCCCAGGCCAAGATGATTTCATTAGTCAATTCAATGAACAATTAAGGAAGAAATATTGATTCTACATAAACTCTTCCCAGAAATGACTATATATATGACTCACCCCGGACTATATATATATAGGGGTGTGTGTGTGTGTGTGTGTGTATATATATATATAGATATATATATATAGATATATAGTATACATATATATACACATATATATTATACATATATATACACATATATATTATACATATATACACATATATTATACATATATATACATATATATTATACACATATACATATATATACACATATATATGACTATTTTGTTTTTGGCATAGGTAGCACTTCAAAACAGTGGGAAAAAGACAGTTTGTGGTAAGCAGAATTCTAAGACGTCTTTCAAATATTTGACCCTGTGAATATGACATATTACTCCTATGATAGGTCATGTTATCTGGCAGAGTTGACTTTAAGAAGGGAGGATTATGCTAGTGGGCCCAGCCTAACCTATTCACATGTGCCCTTTAAAATCTGAGTTTTCTCTGGTTGGTTGCAGAAAGGAAGTCAGAGATTTGGAGCACTAGAAGGATTAAATGCACCATAGTAGGTATGAAGATGGAACTCACATGGAAAGGACCTGAGAGTGGCCTTTAAAGAGTAGAGAAGTGTCACGCCTGTAATCCCAGCACTTTGGGAGGCTGAGACGGGCGGATCACAAGGTCAGGAGATCGAGACCATCCTGGCTAACATGGTGAAACCCTGTCTCTACTAAAAATACAAAAAATTAGCCAGGCGTGGTGGTGGGCGCCTGTAGTCCCAGCTACTCGGGAGGCTGAGGCAGAATGGTGTGAACCCGGGAGGTGGAGCTTGAAGTGGGCCGAGATTGCGCCACTGCACTCTAGCCTCGGCGACAGAGCGAGAGTCCGTATCAAAAAAAAAAAAAAAGAGTAGAGAAGTGGTCCGTTCCAAGATGGCCGAATAGGAACAGCTCCGGTCTGCAGCTTCCAGCATGATTGACAGAGAAGACGGGTGATTTCTGCATTTCCAACTGAGGTACCTGGTTCATCTCATTGGGACTGGTTGGACAGTGGGTGCAGCCCAGGGAGGGTGAGCCAAAGCAGGGCGGGGCATCGCCTCACCCCAGAAACACAAGGGTCAGGGGATTTCCCTTTCCTAGCCAAGAGAAGCCATGACAGACTGTACCTGGAAAAATGGGACACTCTTGCTCAAATACTGCACTTTTCCAATGGTCTTAGCTAATGGCCCACCAGAAGATTACATCCTGCGCCTGGCTCAGCGGGTCCCACGCCCACAGAGCCTTGCTCACTGCTAGCGCAGCAGTCTGAGATTGACCTGCAAGGCAGCAGCCCGGCAGGGGGAGGGGCGTCCACCATTGCTGAGTCTTGAGTAGGCAAACAAAGCGGCCAGAAAGCTCAAACAGGGCAGAGCCCACTGCAGCACCAAGGCTTGCTGCCTCTATAGACTCCACCTCTGAGGGCAGGGCATAGCTGAACAAAAGGCAGCAGAAACTTCTGCAGACTTAAATGTTCCTGTCTGACAGCTCTGAAGACAGCAGTGGTTCTCCCAGCACAGCATTTGAGCTCTGAGAACGGACAGACTGCCTCCTCAAGTGGGTCCCTGACCCCCATGTACTGGGAGACACCTCCCAGTAGAGGCCAGCAGACACCTCATACAGGTGGGTGCCCCTCTGGGACAAAGCTTCCAGAGGAAGGATCAGGCAGCAATATTTGCTGTTCTGCAGCCTCCGCTGGTGATACCCAGGCAAGCAGGGTCTGGAGTGGACCTCCAGCAAACTCCAACAGACCTGCGGCTGAGAGACCTGACTGTTAGAAGGAAAACTAACAAACAGAAAGGAATAGCATCAACATCAACCAAAAGGACATCCACACCAAAACCCCATCTGTAGGTCACCAACATCAAAGATGAAAGGTAGACAAAATCACAAAGATGGGGAGAAACCAGAGCAGAAAAGCTGAAAATTCTAAAAACCAGAGTGGCTCTTCTACTCCAAAGGATTGCAGCTCCTCGCCAGCAATGGAACAAAGCTGGACAGAGAATGACATTATGAGTTGACAGAAGTAGGCTTCTGAAGGTCGGTAATAACAAACTTCTCCAAGCTAAAGGAGGATGTTCAAACCCATCACAAGGAAGCTAAAAACCTTGAAAAAAGATTAGGTGAATGGCTAACTAGAATAAACAGTGTAGAGAAGACCTTAAATGACCTGATGGAGCTGAAAACCATGGCACAAGAACTACGTGATGCCTGCACAAGCTTCAATAGCCGATTTGGTCAAGTGGAAGAAAGGGTATCAGTGATTGAAGATCAAATTAATGAAATAAAGTGAGAAGAGAAGTTTAGAGAAAAAAAGAGTAAAAAGAAATGAACAAAGCCTCCAAGAAATATGGGACTATGTGAAAAGACCAAATCTATGTTTGATTAGTGTACCTGAAAGTGATGGGGAGAATGAAACCAAGTTGGAAAACAGTCTTCAGGATATTATCCAGGAGAACTTTCCCAACCTAGCAAGGCAGGCCAACATTCAAATTCCGGAAATACAGAGAACACCACAAAGATACTCCTCGAGAAGAGCAACCCCAAGACACATAATTGTCAGATTCACCAAGGTTGAAATGAAGGAAAAAATGTTAAGGGCAGCCAGAGAGAAAGGTCAGCTTACCCACAAAGGGAAGCCCATCAGACTAACAGCGGATCTCTCAGCAGAAACTCTACAAGCCAGAAGAGAGTGGGGGCCAATATTCAACATTCTTAAAGAAAAGAATTTTCAACCCAGAATTTCATATACAGCCAAACTAAGCTTCGTAAATGAAGGAGAAATAAAATCCTTTACAGACAAGCAAATGCTGAGAGATTTTGTCACCAGGCCTGCCTTACAAGAGCTCCTGAAGGAAGCACTAAACATGGAAAGAAACAACCGGTACCAGCCACTGCAAAAATATGCCAAATTGTAAAGACCATCAATCCTATGAAGAAACTGCATCAAGTAATGGGCAAAATAACCAGCTAACATCATAATGACAGGATCAAATTCACACCTAACAATATTAACCTTAAATGTAAATGGACTAAATGCCCCAATTAAAAGACACAGACTGGCAAATTGGATAGAGTCAAGACCCATCAGTGTGCTGTATTCAGGAGACCCATCTCACGTGCAGAGACACACATAGGCTCAAAATAAAGGGATGGAGGAAGATCTACCAAGCAAATGGAAAGCAAAAAAAAGCAGGGATTGCAATCCTCATCTCAGATGAAACAGACTTTAAACCAACAAAGATCAAAAGAGACAAGGCCATTACGTAACGGTAAATGGATCAATTCAACAAGAAGAGCTAACTATCCTAAATATATATGCAACCAATACAGGAGCACCTAGATTCATAAAGGAAGTCCTTAGAGACCTACAAAGAGACTTAGACTCCCACACAATAATAATGGGAGACTTTAACACCCCACTGTCAATATTAGACAAATCAATGAGCCAGAAGGTTAACAAGCATATCCAGGACTTGAACTCAGCTCTGCACCAAGCAGACCTAATAGACATCTACAGAACACTCCACCCCAAATCAACAGAATATACCTTCTTCTCAGCACCACATGGCACTTATTCCAAAATTGACCCCATAGTTGGAAGTAAAGCACTCCTCAGCAAATGTAAAAGAATGGAAATCACAACAAACTGTCTCTCAGACCACAGTGCAATCAAATTAGAACTCAGGATTAAGAAACTTGGTCAAAATCACACAACTACATGGAAACTGAACAACCTGCTCCTGAATGACTACTGGGTAAATAATGAAATGAAGGCAGAAATAAAGATGTTCTTTGAAACCAATGAGAACAAAGACACAACGTACCAGGATCTCTGGGACACATTTAAAGCAGTGTGTAGAGGGAAATTTGTAGCACTAAATACCCACACAGGAAAGCAGGAAAGATCTAAAATCAACACCCTAATGTCACAATTAAAAGAACTAGAGAAGCAAGAGCAAGCAAATTCGACAGCTAGCAGAAGGCAAGAAATAACTAAGATCAGAGCAGAACTGAAAGAGGTAGAGACACAAAAAACCCTTCAAAAAATCAATGAATCCAGGAGCTGGTTTTTTGAAAAGATCAGCAAAATTGATAGACTGCTAGCAAGACTAATAAAGAAGAAAAGAGAGAAGAATCAAATAGATGCAATACAAAATGATAAAGGGGATATCACCACCAATCTCACAGAAATACAAACTACCATCAGAGAATACTATAAACACTTCTACGCAAATAAACTAGAAAATCTAGAAGAAATGGATAAATTCCTGGACACATACACCCTCCCAAGACTAAGCCAGGAAGAAGTGGAATCTCTGAATAGACCAATAACAGGATCTGAAATTGAGGCAATAATCAATGGCCTACCAACCAAAAAAAGTCCAGGACCAGACAGATTCATAGCCGAATTCTACCAGAGGTACAAAGAGGAGCTGGTACCATTCCTTCTGAAACTATTCCAATCAATAGAAAAAGAGGGAATCCTCCCTAACTCATTTTATGAGGTCAACATCATCCTGATACCAAAGCCTGGCAGAGACACAACAAAAAAAGAATTTTAGACCAATATCGCTGATGAACATCAGTGCAAAAATCCTCAATAAAATACTGGCAAACCGAATCCAGCAGCACATCAAAAAGCTTATCCTCCACGATCAAGTTGGCTTCATCCCTGGGACGCAAGGCTGTTTCAACATATGCAAATCAATAAATGTAATCCATCGCATAAACAGAACCAACGACAAAAACCACATGATTATCTCAATAGATGCGGAAAAGGCCTTTGACAAAATTCAACAGCCCTTCATGCTAAAAACTCTCAATAAACTAGGTATTGATGGAACGTATCTGAAAATAATAAGAACTACTTATGACAAACCCACAGCCAGTATCACACTGAATGGGCAAAAATTGGAAGCAATGCCTTTGCAAACCGGCACAAGACAGGGATGCCCTATCTCACCACACCTATTTAACATAGTGTTGGAAGTTCTGGCCAGGGCAATCAGGCAGGAGAAAGAAATAAAGGGTATTCAATTAGGAAAAGAGGAAGTCAAATTGTCCCTGTTTGCAGATGACATGATTGTATATTTAGAAAACCCCATTGTCTCAGCCCAAAATTTCCTTAAGCTGACAAGCAGCTTCAGCAAGGTCTCAGGATACAAAATCAATGTGCAAAAATCCCAAGCATTCCTATCCTCAATAACAGGCAAACAGAGAGCCAAATCATGAGTGAACTCCCATTCACAATTGCTACAAAGAGAATAAAATACCTAGGAATACAACTTACAAGGGATGTGAGGGACCTCTTAAAGGAGAACTACGAACCACTGCTCAAGGAAGTGAGAGAGGACAAACAAACAACCCCATCAACAAGTGGGTGAAGGATATGAACAGACACTTCTCAAAAGAAGACATTTATGCAGCCAACAGACACATGAAAAAATGCTCATCATCACTGGTCATCAGAGAAATGCAAATCAAAACCACAATGAGATACCATCTCACACTAGTTAGAATGGCGATCATTAAAAAATCAGGAAACAACAGATGCTGGAGAGGATATGGAGAAATTGGAATGCTTTTACACTGTTTGTTGGAGTGTAAATTAGTTCAACCATTGCGGAAGACAGTGTGGCAATTCCTCAAGGATCTAGAACTAGAAATACCATTTGATCCAGCGATCCCATTACTGGGTAGATACCCAAAGGATTATAAATCATGCTACTATAAAGACACATGCACACGTATATTTATTGCAGCACTGTTCACAATAGCAAAGACTTGGAACCAACCCAAATGTCCATCAATGATAGACTAGATTAAGAAAATGTGGCACATCTACACCATGGAATACTATGCAGCCATAAAGAAGGATGAGTTAATGTCCTTTGCAGGGACATGGATGAAGCTGGAAACCATCATTCCGAGCAAACTATCACAAGGACAGAAAACCAAACACCACATGTTCTCACTCATAGGTGGGAATTGAACAATGAGAACACTTGGACACAGGGAGGGGAACATCACACAGTGGGGCCTGTCGTGGGGTGGGGGGTTGGGGGAGGGATAGCATTTGGAGAAATTCCCAATGTAAATGATGAGTTAATCAGTGCAGTAAACCAACATGGCACATGTATACCTATGTAACAAACCTGCACGTTGTGTAGATGTACCCTAGAACTTTAAGTATATATACATATATATATATATATGAGTAGAGAAGCACCCTGGCTGACAGCCAGCAAGAAAACATGGACCTCAGTCTAAAGCCACACAAAATGGATGTCTTGCCAACAATCTGAGCAATTTCGGAATTGGATTTTTTTTTCCCAGAGCCTCCAGACAAGAAGAGCCTGGCTGACAACTTGATTTGAGCATGAACTCCTTACCTACATACTGTGAGTTAATAAAAGGGTGTTGTTTTAAGATACTAAGCTTGTGTTCATTTGTTACACAGCAAGAAAAAATTAATAAATGGTCTTTTCACTAAATGATGATGGGTCAACTGGATAGTCCTATGGAGAAGAAAAGACAAACTTGATTTCTACCTTCAACTTTACATAAAAATCAATTGTAGGTGGGCTGTAGATCAAAAGGTAAAAGGCAAAAGAATTAAATTTCTAGAAGATAACATAGGAGAATATTTCATAACTTTGGGGTAGGAAAAGATTCCTTTAGTAGGACACTACAACACTAACCACAAAAGATTGTTAAATTACATTAAAATTAGAATTTTTTTCCAGCAAAAAGACCATATTAAGAGACTAATGAGACAATCCACAGAGTGGAAGAAGATATGTGCCATATGTCAAAGGTACTGGTATCTGGAATTTATCTTAAAACTTCTACAAACCAGTAAGAAAAAGGCTGGAAACCAAACATCAAGATGGGCAATAGACAAGAGCAGAAATTTCAGAAGTTACTCAAATTATGAAAAAGTACTCACCCTCATTAGCTATCATGGAAATGTAAATTCAAAAATCTGAAACTCTTCCAATATGATATATGCTGGAGTGCCAAATGGACTCACAGACAAACTGACTACCACAAGAACAGGTCAATCTTTGATTTACATGCTTTTCTGCCTCTATGAAAGAAAACATTATCAAATTTAAAAGTAAATTCTTTTATTATTTTTTGTAACATCAGAAATTCAAAATGTAGGGGGAGAATGGAGTTAATGTGTACATGTTTTGTATTTGTTTCTTTTCTCTTGTTTTTGTGATCAAAGTTAGGTTGCTATCAGTGTGTGTGTGTGTCTGTGTGTGTTTGAGACAAGGTCTCACTCTGTCACCTAAGCTGGAGTGCAGTGGTGCAATCACAGATCACTGCAGCCTTGACCTGCTGGGCTCTAGAGATCTTCCCACGTTAGCCTTCAATTAGCTGGGACTACAGGAGTGCTTACAAAAACATTAGCTTAGTTATAGGTAACTTCTTATAACTATAAAATGTTTTTGTAAGCACTATAGTAACCCAAAGCAAAAACCTAAAATATAATAAAAATCAAAAGCAATGAGTTAAAACACACTACCAGAGAAAATCACAACCACAAATAAAGAGAGTAAGAAAGGAAGACAGGGTTACAAAACAACAAGCAAACAAGTAAAACGACAGTATTAAGTCCTTACCTATCAATAATAACATTGAATGTAAATCAACTAAATTCTCCAATTAAGACATAGAATGGCTGAATGGATTAAAAAACAAGACCCAAATATATGCTGCCTACAAGAAACTTATCTCACCTATAAAGATACCCATAGAGTAAAAGTGAAGAGATGGAAAAAGATACTCCATGCAAATGGAACTTTAAAAAGAGCAGGAATAGCTATATTTATAGCACATAAAATAGACTTTAAGTCAAAAACTATAAAAAGAGACAAAAAAGGCCATTATATAATTATAAAGATATCAATTCAGCAAGACGATATTACATTAATAAATATATATGTACCTAACACCAGAACACCCAAATATACAAAACAAATGTTAACAGAAATAAAGGGAGAGGTAGACTGCAATACAGTAATAGTAAGGGACTTCAGCACCTTGCTTTTGGCAATAGATAGATTATCCAGGCAGAAAATTAACAAAGAAACATTGCAGTTAAACTATACTCTAGACCAAATGGACCTAACAGACATTTATGAGCATTTCATCCAACTACTGCAGAACACACATTTTTCTCATCAGTGCATGGAACATTCTCCAGCATAGGGCATATGTTAGGTCACCAAAAAGTCTCAACAAATTTAAAAGAATAGAAATCATATTAAGTATATTTTCTGACCACAATGGAATAAAACTAGAATCTTTGCAAAGAGGAACTTTGAAAACTGTACAAATACATGGAAATTAAACAACATGCTCCCAAATGACCAATGGGTCAATGAAGAAATTATGAGAGAAATTTTTTAAAAACTCTTAAAACAAATGAAAATGGAAACACAATATACCAGAACCTATGGGATACAGCAAAAGTAGGACTAAGAGGGAAGTTTATAGCAATAAATGCCTATGTCAAAAAAATACAGGCTTCAAATAAATAACCTAATGATACACTTCAAGGAACCAGAAAAGCAAGAACAAATCAAACCTAAAATTTGTAGAATAAAAAAAATAATAAAGATCAGAACAGAAATAAATAAAATGGAGACTAAAAAACCACAAAAGATCAATAAAATGAAAAAGTTTTTTTTTTTTTTTTAAAGATAGACAATACCAACATGCTGGAAAACCCAAATAGGTAAAATCAGAGACAAAAAAGGAAACATTACAACTGGTACCAGAAAAATAGAAAGGATCACTAGAGACTACTATCAACAGCTACATGCCAATGAACTGGAAAACCTACAAGTAATGGATAAATTCCTGGAAAAATACAATCTACTAAAATTGAAACAAAGAAATAGAAAAACAGACAAATAATGAGTAAGATCTAAATAATAATAATAAGTCTCCCATGAAAGGAAAGTCCAGGACCTGATAGAAACACTGCTGAATTCTACCAAACATCTGAAGAAGAACTAATACCAATTCTACTCAAACTACTTTAAAAAATTGAAGAGGAGGGAATATTTCCAAACTCATTCTATGAGGCCAGCATTACCATGATACCAAGACCAGACAAGAATATAACAGAAAACCACAGGCCAATATAACTGATGAGCATAAATGCAAAAATCCTCAACAAAATACTAGCAAACTGAATTCAGTAACACATTGAAAAGATCACCATGATCATGTGGAATTCAGCCCAGGGAGGCAAGGATGGTTCAGCATACACAAATCAATAAACATGATACATCACATCAATAGAATCAAGAACAGAAACCATATGATTGTTTCAATACATGCTGGAAAAGTGTTTGATAAAATTCAACATCCCTCCATAATAAAAACTCTCAACAAACGGGGTATAGAAAAAACATACCTCAATACCATAAGGGCAATATATGACAGACTCACAGCTAATATCACACTGAACAGTGAACAAAGTATTTCCACTAACATCTAACAAGACAAGATGCCCATTTTCACCACTTCAACTCAACATAGTATTAGAAGTCCTAGATAGAGCAATTAGGCAAGAGAAAGAAACAAAGAGTATCCAAATTGGAAAGGAAGAAGTCAAATTAACCTTGTTTGCAGATGACATGATCTTTTATTTAGTAAAACCTAAAGACTCCATCAAAAAACTCTCAGAACTGATAAATAAAGATAGTAAAGTTGCAGGATACAAAATCAACATACAAAAATCAGCAGTGTTTATATACGTTTACAGTGATCAATCTGAAAAAGTAATCAAGAAAGCAATCCTATTTACAATAGCTACTAAAAAATACCTAGGAATAAATTTAACAAAAGAAGTGAATTTAACAAAACAAGTTTTTCTTTATAAGGAAAACTATAAAACACTGATGAAAGAAATGGAAAGGACACACACACAAAGGAAAAGATATCCCATGCTCATGGATTGGAAGGGTTAATATCATTGAAATGTTATATGACCCAAAGCAATCTACAGATTCAATGCAATCTCTCTCAAAATACTAATGACATGCTTCACAGAAATGGAGAAAACAATCCTAAAATTTGTATGGAATCCCAAAAGACGCCGAATTGCTAAGGAATCCTAAGGAAAGGAAAAAACAAAAACAAAAAAACAAAGCTGGAAGCATCATACTACCTGACTTTAAATCATGCTACAAAGCTATAGTAATTAAATCAACATGATACTGGCATAAAAGCAGACACAGACCAATGGAATGTAATAGAGAACTCAGAAATAAATCAGTATACTTACAGCCAACTTGTTTTCAACAAAGGCACTAAGAACACACATTGGGGAAAGGATAGTCTCTCTAATAAACATTATTGAAACTAGATATCCATATGCAGAAGAATGAAGCTAGATCGATCCTATCTTTTACCATATACAAAAATCAACTCAAATGGATTAAAGACTTTAATAGGACATGAAACTACTAAAAGAAAACATTAGGGGGAATGCTACAGGACATTGGTCTGGGGAAAGATTTTTTTCGGGTAAGACCTCAAAAACACAGGCAACAAAAGCGAAAAATAGACAAATGGGATTACACCAAGCTAAAAAGCTACACATAGAAAAGTAAACAATCAACAAAGTGAAGAAACAGTCTACAGCATGGGAGAAAATATTTGCAAACTATCCATCTAACAAGGGATTAATAACCAGGATATTTAGGGAACTCAAACAACTCAATAGCATGATGACAAATAATCTGAATAAAACATGGACCAAAGACCTGAATAGAAATTTCTCAAAGGAAGACATACAAATGGCCAACAAGTACATAAAAAATGCTCAGCATCACTATCAGGAAAATGCAAATCAAAACCAAGACTACAAATTAAGTTCACTATATACTGCTTGGGTGATGGGTGGACCAAAATCTCACAAATCACCACTAAAGAACTTACTCGTGTAACCAAATACCACCTGTTCCCCAAAATCTATGGAAATAAAACATTAAAAACAAACCAACAAACAAAAAAAAAACCCCACAATTAGGTGTCATCTCACTCCAGTTAGAGTGGCTATCAAGAAAAAGACAAAAAATAACAAATGCTGGTGAGGATGCAGAGAAAGGGGAATACCTGTAAACTGTTGGGAATGTAAAGTAGTATAGCCATTATGGAAAACAGTTTAGAGTTTTCCCAAAAAACTAAAACTAGAACTACCACATAGTTCAGTTCAGCAATCCCACTGATAGGTCTATATCCAAAAGAAAGGAAATCAGTGTATCAAAGAGGTATCTGCATTCCCATGTTTATTGCAGCACTGTTCACAGTACCCAAGATACTAATGAATCTAAGTGTCCATCAGTTGGTGAATGGATAAAGAAAATGTGGTATATACACATAATGGAATATTATTCAGCCATAAAAAGAATGAAATCCTGTCATTTGCAGAAAAATGGATGGGATTGGAGGTTATTATGTTAAGTGAAAACCAGGCACAGAAAGACAAATATTGCATGTTCTCATTCCTATGTGGGAGCTAAAAAGTGAATCTTACGGCTGGGCACAGTGGCTCACGCCTGTAATCCCAGCACTTTGGGAGGCCTAGGCGGGCGGATCACCTGAGGTCAGGAGTTCGAGACCAGCCTGGCCAACATGGTGAAACCGTCTCTACTAAAAATGCAAAAATTAGCCGAGCGTGGTGGTGTGCGCCTGCAATCCTGGCTACTGGCGGGGGAAGGTGGGAGAGAGGAGAATTGCTTAAACCCGGGAGGCAGAGTTTGCAGTGAGCCGAGATTGCGCCACTGTACTCCAGCCTGGGCGACAGAATGAAACTGTCTCAAAAAAAAAAAAAAAAAAAAAAAGTGAATCTCACAGGGGTAGACAGTAGAATGGTCACTACCAGAGGCTTAGAAAGGAAGCGGGGTGGAACAGATGAGAGAAATTGGTTAAGGGGTACAAAAACAGAATCAGATATAAGAAATAAGTTCCTGTATTTGATAATGCAGTGGGAAAATTATAGTAATTGTATATTTCAAAATAGCTAGAAGAGAAGAATTGTAATGTTCTTAAAACAAAGATAAATATTTGAAGAGATGGATACCCCATTTACCCTAATCTGATCATAACACAGTGTATACAGGTATTCGAATGTCACATGTACCCTAAAATATGTACAACTATTATGTAATCAAAGAAAAAGAACAATCTCAAAATATTTTTTAGAAAACCTTAACACCATCAGATGGCACTATATACCTACTAGATTGACCCAAATTACAAAACATAGCAAAAACAAAAAATACAGACAATACCAAGTGTTGGTGAGCAAATGAAGCAACATAAACTCATATATTGCTGGTGGGAGTACACATTGGTACAACCACTTTGGAAACCATTTAGTATTGTCTTCTGAAGCTAAACATATGCATACCATATGACCTCTGCATTTCCTCTCTGGATGGACCCAAGAGAAATATGTGCATAAGTTCACTGAAAGGCAAGCATAAAAATGCTCTTGACAGTATTATTTTTAGTAGTACCACATTGGAAACAACCCAAGTATTCATCAATCATAGAATAAATAAATACACTGTAGTGCATTCATCCAGTGGAAAAGTATTTAGTAATAAAAATGAAATAATTAAAGTTGCAACATACAATGTTGACTGAGAGAAGTCAGACACAAACAAGTATACATTATACAATTCCAGTTATTTAAAGTCCAAAACCAGGTACATCTAGATGTTAGTAGTAGTTACATTTGGGAAAATGGAGTAAGTGAGATGGGCAGAAGCATAAGGGGGTCTTCTGAGACTCGGGCAATGGTGATTCTTGAGTGGGTGGCAGTTAATAGAAGTTTGTTTTGTGATAATTCATGAAGGGACACATTTATGTTTTAAGTACTTTTTTGTCATTCTTAAATTAAAAAAAAACTTAAAAATTCAAATAATTTGTAAGGAGTCCTATTTTCTGAAAGTAAATTTTTTCATCAGGGAATGTACTCCATCCCACCTTTATTCCTACCCTTATTTATTTCTTGGTAATTTCCTATCTAAGCATATATTTTTTTTAATAGAACACCAGCTTCTTTTCCAGTAATTGCTCCAAGGAAGCCATCTTTGTCATTCCTCAGAAATGCTCATAATACAACATAGTGGTCAGAAATAATAATACCAAATAGAAGTGTAATTTCCTAAGTGGAAAACACATTTCTCTTGGCAATGACTGTCAACAGCATTCCTGGAAATCCAGCAGAACTCAGAATTTCAAGCACTACAGTGAAGGAAATGTCTAGTAGCAGTAGTAATGGAAACAAAAACATGAAGGAAAGAGAATGATTTGGAAGAATGTTAATTCTTTACTTTTGCTCCATTAAACACAGGTATAAAAAAGACTAATTGAAGAGTCTAATGTTATTTACTAACATTATTTTCTAAGATTTGCTTAATGTCCAAAAATTACTATACAACTTTAACTTATGCTGGCTAAAAGGTTTGAAATAGCCGAGTGAGGGCTAAAGCTGGAAGACCAATAGGGCATTCATCTCACAGGTCAAATGTTATCACCCAATTCTCCAAGTACACATAATCCATAACAGAAGGCTGCCTTCTAATTGCCTATCCTGGTGCCATTTTGTCTGTCTGGAAAAATCCCAACTCACCTTCAAGTCCAAATTCATTCATCTTCTCCTCTGTTACTTACCTAGGTATTAATAGAACTGATCTCTCCTTTCTCATTACCATTCATACCTTGTATCTGATTTATGATAGCCCTATGATATATTAAAATTCTTCATATTTTTTCTCTTCTATCCCACTGTAAGTAACTTAAGGGCAGGAACTATATTTCATTCATTATTCTCTCCAGTGCTTATCTGAACAGTTAGCTCACAGCAGGTATCAGTAAGGAAGGGTTGTTAAGTGAAATAAATGGGAAGAGACTGACAGAGAAGGTTACTCAGCTAGTGCTTTGGAAAGCGGGGTGGGGAGGAAGTGGTCCAAGAGCTGACATCATGATGGAGGCCAGAACTAGAGGCTGAAGCACACTGACACTGGTAAGCCAAGCTGGCAGGTACTGGTATAAAAGTGAGATGAATAACTGAAGGCCAGAGTACAAGTCTAACAGCCCCTGTTGGGACTAGTCAGAAACTAGGCCACATACACACTAGTTATAAGAGCCAGAGACAATGTAGAGGCAATTTAAACCACAACTAATCATAAAATGGAAGGTGATGCATAAATAGTTTTCTAAAGTAGAACTGCAAGGTGGCAAGCCAAGTTGTGCTGCTGTTTTGGTGGTACGTAGCCTAGTACCACTAGTATGATTCATATTAGAATGCCCCAGTTTGTTTGGCTTTGCCATTATTGAGGAGAGGGACTTGTTGGTACTGAAGCAAGGGGAATTACAGGAGATGGGCATGGTTTCATTATGACAGGTGAATTTGGGAGGTAGGAAATCAACCATTGTGGGTGTATATACCGCAATATATATGTGAGTTTTACTCTTGGTCTATGGTGACTGAGATACTACTTCTAGTCACTTTGATCTTATTTAAAAGGTCTGACAGATTCTACATGTCCAAAATATACCACCACGTTTACAAGGAAAAATCACTTTCTTAAAGTACTCATGAAAAGGTTTGACAGGTTAGGAAAAGGCTTTGGTAGATTCAGCACCATGATGGGGGGTGGCTGAGGAGAATAATCATTAGTAAGCCCATTAATACCGATGAAATGCCAAACATTTTAAAACTCCCTTTAAAATAAAAAATACAATAATCTTGGGAGCTGAGATGAGCTCTACTGTGGATGGGTACTTATTTAGACAAGATTTGAAGAAGACCTGTCACAATTAAGAAATAAACGGTAGACCTCACTGTGAGCTTATCTTGCCAAGGGTTACAACGCCTGAAGGCATTCTGCAGGAACATGGCAACGATGGATTTTAGTTCTGGTGGACTGACTGTCTTACCTCAGTGTTTGGTAGGTGGGCTATTCTGAGATTAAGTCCATGGATGTTGAATCTCAAGACCATCTTGCAGTGTGGATGTAGTAGACGCAATGTAACTACCTAAAAGCCAACAAAAATTTTCATTTCCCTTGATTGACTCTACTGAGTCATGGGGAAATCAAAACATATGGCTTTTCTCTATTCCTCAGAGTAAGGGATATTTTGGCTACTAATCTAAAAGTTCCTAGGGAGGACATTCTCTTTTTAAATAAGCCAAAGCCTAATCAGGAGTAGGCCTTTTGCCTTTCTCCCCTTTCCCTTTCTTTCTGGCTGAATGTTAGACATGAGGTCTAGAGTTGCAGGAGCCATGACGTGACCATGAGATGATGACCACAAGGATAAAGGTTTATGTGATGTGCAAAGGACAACAGAGTAGAAACATACGACCCATGTCCCAGATGGCACTGTTGAGATGTTATTTACCTCTGGACTGCCTATGCCTGGATTTCTTGGCACATGAGAAAAATAGATCCCTATCTGTTTAGGCCACTGTAATTTGGTTTTCTGTTATCTATAGTCAAACTCAATCCCAGATGATAAAAGTGAATAGAAATAGGGCCTTTGAATATTCTGGGTGTTTTTGGTCACAGCACAAGGGCTGATGTGCTTAACTGCCTATCAGGCTCTGGTACTTGAGTGGGGGAGAAAGTGGCATCTGCACATATCCAGGGCTTGCCTGAGAGGAGGCAGGGTAGGAGCTGACTGAAAAAGAGCCTTTCACAGGAAAGCTCCTCCTAGCACATATTCTGACTATTCCTGAGGCTGGCAAGATGTGCTGAGTGTAGGGAAGTTAGGAAGGTTCAAGTCAAGCAGGGCTGTGTGGGAACAAAATTTAGGGTTGAGGACGAGCTGCAAGACTAGAAGATTCTGGAGACATGAGCAGCCCCACATGCCAACACAGCTGTAGGCAGAGTAAGGCTGGGTACTCAGAAAGGCTATACCAGCAGGGTTTGTCAAAAGGTTAAGTAGGACCAGATAGTCTTAGAAACCCAGATGAAACCTTCTTCCAAGGGAAAATTCTTCAGCGGTTATTTATTTATTTCCAGGTTGTTTTCCACCTTTCCAATGGTGCCAAGTTGCAACAAAGTGAAAACTAGACCTAAAAAAATAATTCTCCCATTCTAAACTTTCTGCATAATTTGGAGAAATGTTTCGTAGTCAACATAGTTTATTATGTATTTCTCTATAAGCCAGGACTGTGGTCATTACGATAATCAATTTAGTCTGCAAACAGATAATCTTACCTAAGCGACACTGAGTTCACCAAAGTGAAAAACAACTGGAGGTGTTGTATGATTTTAAAAAATAATGCAACTTTTTAGACTGGCGTTAATTTTGAAATATAAAAATTTCTTTAGAAAAAATAAGATATTCATTGCGCTATTAACTTCTAAACCAGAGATTATATCCTAGTACCACACTAATCACCTCTTGTCCTAAATCCTAACACTGACCGAAAAACAAAAACAAAAACAAACAAAAAAACCTTTTCCTTCATTCCTGAATTTTAGGTTATACTTGCATGAATCATTAAAAGCTGCAGCTGGGGCCGGGCATGACGGCTCACACCTGTAATCTCAGCACTGTGGGAGGCCAAGGTCGAGGACTGCTTGAGGCCTGGAGTTTGAGACTAGCTTGGCCAACATAGCAAGACCCTGTCTCTAATATAAATAAATAAATAAAAGCCACAGTTGGGTTTTATAAACATATTTTCATAAGCTGCTCAGATAAATGAGAGAATAGGTAAGGTAACATGAGAGTCTGGTTTCGTCTTACTCAAAAATTATTCTGGGATTGAGTTAAAAATATTCTAGAAGAAATTTATGATTCTTTAGTGATGCAAATGCTTATGTTGTCATCTCATTTAATAGTTCATTTTATATCTTAAAAAGCTAATTCCATATTAAGGGAAGAAAAAATTATGAAAATTTATTTTACAAGAATATATTCAACAAAGTAATGTAATCTACCAGAAATTCCCTATGTCTCTGTGCTATGTTTTTCTAGTTAGGTAACTGAAAGGAAATAAAATATCAATTTGGCCTAACTAACGAAAAGACCCTAGAATATTTTTTAAAGTTAATTATTTTGACTTGCTATACTGCTGAACTAAGACGTATTTTCTTTTAGCTTTGATCAGAAAATCAACTTAGCTGTCTCAGTGAAAAGCCTATTTTTCATGAAGTGGAAGAACATCTAAAGAAAATACAGAGTAGCAAACATTCCAGAATTAAAACTGAAGAAAAAATCCATATATGTTCTTTAAAAATAACATTTAAAATAACCTAGTTAACAAAATGACATTGATGAACACTGTGGTAAAGTTTATAATGTACACTAACTGATGTAGGGCTACTCTTCTCTGAATGCTGGATAGGAAATGACATTTCACTCACTCATACTAGAGAAGAACGCTAATGCCCCAGAACTCAAGCCTACAGGAAAGGATGTGCCATCTTTGCCAAAAGGGCAGCAGGATTTGAAATATTTGAATATTTTGGTTCCTAGAATTTTTCAGAGCTTACAACAACAACAACAAAAATGTGTGTATAAACTAAAGGATACAGAAAACCAGTTTCTATCTAGATAGGGCAGGATTTATTATCCACTGCTTGGACTAGCAAACTTCCTCCATTTGTTTCCGTAAGATTTCTACTGAAGCACAGACATTACATAATCTGCAAACACTGCAAAGCCTCCTAAAAGGCATGCTGGCAGGTTAAAAGGTCGTTGTCTGGATGATAGTCAAGCCACAGAGAAACAGGTCTGTGGGGGCCAGGGGGAAATATCCAGCTGGACCAGATTCCCAGCTGGGAATGATCTCTGACCTGATCTTCTTTTCCCTTGATAACCCCTCTCTTTGTGTAACCATGAAAATTATGCCGATGCAAGTAGCTGGTATGAACATTAGTTATGTCCACTATTCATGGAGTATAAACTCTAGCAGAGCCCACTGATCATCTCCCAAAGTCTTCTGTTGAGTGTTGCTCTCTCAGTTGGGACTTTCTCTTTGTGGGAAGCAAGGTACTAGGAATCACCATAGTGATGGTAAGGGCAAGCCTGGGCGAAGGCAGCTTCTGTGAGGGTTATTGCAAGAGGAGGCAGGGGTGGCACTGGGGATCTAGAGGGAAGAGGCTGGCTACTAGGAAGTGAACTATGAACCCAAGCAGGGAATGAACCAATAACCCAAAGAAGAAAGAAGACAGGTAACTAACTACTGCCTCATTTTCCTTTACCCAAGGTTACACACACTGGGTAGGTTATGGGGAAAAAAAAAAATCAGAGACCACTGAAGTAGTAGTTATTTGGCTATCAGAAGGCCAGATTAGAGCCAAGGGATTAAAAGATCAGAAAAGGAAAGGATGTAAGAAATAGGAGGACTGTGCTCCAAAAATTTGTTTGCTAGTTTGTTATTTAGAACAGAGATGAAGACATGTAGCTGAATGTTCAGTCTGATTTACAAAATGTATTTCATATATCAGGGTTGTGTGAGAAAGGAAGCCCAGGGTTCTTCAAGCAACAATGTAGTATAAAACTCTGGTTGCCTTGGATTGGGGAGGGAAATATGTCTTATGCCTAAACTGTCTTGCTCCCTGCTGCCTAAACTTCAGTCTCCTGGAAGATGCAGTAGGAGGTCAATTATTGCAATTAAAAGGAAGAGTCCTTTCTTTCAAGTGCAGCTTTTGGAGCCTACTTCTCCTGAAGTGTATATAACTCTGATGCAGAAAAAGTGGAAAATACCTTTACATAATTTCCTGTTTTAATTAAAAACATTAAGCACTTGATTATATGTTATATGTGACATATTATGTATTTAGTAAATATACCGTTAAGAATAATTTGTCATAGCTAGACTTTTCATATATAAATTTAAAAAATGTATAAAATTTATATCCCATGTCCTGATTTGAGTTTAGAAAATATTTCTAAAGAGGCATAAGTACAGCTGCATATCTAATGGTGTCCTCAGCCCTGGGACTCTGGGTCCTCAACCTTCTCAATGTCTCAAGGACAAGGAGCTCCTAATTCAGGCCGTCAGGATGAGGGGAACACCTATCCCAGGGAGGAAAGTGGTATCCCTAGCTGGAGAATGCTTTTTGTTTTTAATTCAACTTTTATTTTAAGATAGTTGTAGATTTACATGCAGGTGTAACAAATAATATAGAGAAATCCATGTACCTTTTACCCAGTTTCTCCCATGGTAATATCTTGCAAAACCACAGTATAATGTTACAGCCAGGATATGTATGTATGTATTTTTTAAAGAGACAGGGTCTTCCTCTGTTGCCCAGGCCGAAGTGCAGTGGTGCAATCACAGCTCGCTGTAACCTTGAACTCCTAGGCTCAAGCGATCCTCCTGCCTCAACCTCCCAAGTAGCCAGGACTACAGGTGTGTGCCACCATGCCTAGCTAAATTTTCATCTTTAATTTTTAACCCCTGGCAACCACTAATCTGTTCTTCATTTCTATAATGTTATCACTTCAAGAATGCTATATAAATGGAATCACGCAGTATGTAAACCTTAAGGGTTGCTTTTTTTCACTGAGCATAATTCTCTGGAGATGGACACAGGTTGCTGTGTGTATTAAAAGTCTGTTCCTTTTTATTATCAAGTAGAATTCCATGGTATGGCTTTACCACAGTTTGTTTAATAATTTACCCATTGAAAATACCTCTGGGTTGTTTCCAGTTTTTGGCTATTATGAATAAAACTACAATAAACATTCATATACAGGTTTTTCTCTGAACACCAGTTTTCACATATCAGGGATGAATGCCTAGGAGTGTTAACTGCTGGGTCATAGGGTAGCTGCGTGTTTAGGTTTTTAACTGTCAAACTGCTTTCCAGAGTGGGTGCACCATTTTACATTATCAGCAGCAATGTATGAGTGATCCAGTTTCTCTGCATCCTTACCAGCATTTATGGTTGCTGATTTTTTTTATTTTAGCCATTCTGATAGGTGTGTAATGATATCTCACTGTGATCACACCCAGCTAGTCTTTGCCTAGTCCTAGATCCTGATCCTGAATATTTTATTCTTTTTTTCTAAAAGGATTGTAGTTTTAAGATTTATATTAAAATTCATGGCTCATTTAGAGTTAACCTTTTTATAAGGTGTAAGGTTTACAGTTTAGGTTGAGGTTCATTTCCTTCCTTCCTTTCTTCTTCTCTCCTTCTCCTTCTCCTTCTTCTTTTTTTCTTTTGGCCTAAGAAGAGCCAAGTGCTCCAGCAACATTGTTGAAATGGCAATTCCTCTTTTATCAAATTGCTTTTGCCCTCTTGTCAAAAATCAGTTGGGCACACTTGTGTGGGTCTATTTCTAGGTTCTCTTCTCTGTTCCATTGATTTATGTATTAATCCCTTTATCAATATCACAAAGTTTTGATTACTGTAGCTACATAATAAATCTTGCAACCAGACAGACTCACTCCTTCCACTTTATTCTTCTTTTACAAAACTGTCTTAGTAATTCTTATTCCTTTGCCTTTCCAAATACATTTTAGAATAATCATGTCGATAGCTACAAAAAAATCTTGCTCGGATTTTGATAGCAACTATGTTTAATATGCATATCAATTTAGGAAGAATTGACATCTGATATGGTTTGGATTTGTGTCCTCACCCAAATCTCATGTCCTCAATGTAATCCCCAATGTTGGAGGTGGGACCTGGTGAGAGGTAACTGAATCATGGGGATGGTTTCTCATGACTTAACACCATCCCCCTTGGTGCTGTTATAGAAATAATGATGGAGTTATCTCAAGATCTGGTTGTTTAAAGTGTGTGGCACCTCTCCCACTTGTCTTTCTCAGTCCCGCTCCTCCCATGTTAGACGCCTGCTCCCACTTTGCCTTCTGCCATAAGTAAAAGCTACTTGAGGCGTCCGCAGAAGTGGATGCCTCTTCCTGTACAGCCTATGGAACTGTGAGCCAATTAAACCTCTTTTCTTTATAAATTACCCAGTGTGAGAGTGCATTAATACATGTTTACTATGTTGAGTCTTCCAATCCATGAACACAGTATGTCTCTCCATTTACTTAGGTCTTCTTTCATTTCTTTATTAATAGTCATCATTTTCAGCATATAATTATGTATATGTTTTTCTAAATTTATGCCTAACAATTTAATTTTTCCGACTGGCTAAAAATGTACATTATATTTTAAATTTTGGTTTCTATTGCTAGTGTATGCAAATAATATTGACTTTTGTGCTTATCCTGTATCCTGTGACATTGTTGAACTTGTATTAATTCTCAAAGTTTGTTTTTGGTAGATTCCTTGGGATTGTCATTTTTTTCTTTTAGTTTTTTTTTTTTTAATCATTTGATATATTTTTATTCCCTGGCAGAGCCGCAGAACCATCCTTGGGATTTTCTCTACAGACAATCATGCCATCTACAAACGAGATTAATTTCTTCTCTTCTGATCTGTATATCTTTTATTTCCTTGCCTTACCTTACTGGACTGACTAGAACGTCCAGCACTATGTTGAATAAGAGTGCTGAGAGCAGACATCTTTGTCTTGTTTCTAGTCTTAGAAGAAAAGCATTCAAAATATTTTTTTTTCCCTGCATCGGTTGATAGAATCATGTGGTTTATCTTCTTTAGCCTGTTAATATGTTAGATTATATTAATGGATTTTTGAATATCATACTAGCCTTGCATCCCTGGAATAAATCACATTTGGTAATAGAATAGTATATAATTCTTTTTATATATTGCTGAATTCTGTTTGCTAATATTTTATTAGAGATGTTTGTCTCTATACTCATAGGGGATACTGGCCTGTAGTTTCTTCTTTTTTTGTATTATTTTTCTCTGGTTTTGATATTAGATAATACTAGCTTCAAAAAGTGAATTGGGATGTGTTCCCTCCTATTTTCTATTTAAAAAATAGGTAGAATTGTGTTAGTATTTCTTTAAACATTAGGTATAGTTCTTCAGTGAAATCATCTGAGCCTCTAAATGTCTTTTTTTGGAAGTTTTAAAATTACAAATTGAGTTTCCTTCAAAGTTATAAGGCTCTTCAAATGGTCTATTTCATCTTGGATGAATTGTGGTAGTGTGTCCACATTTGAAGAATTGGTTTATTTCATTCCAGTTGTCAAATTTATATGTGTAGAGTTGTTCACAGTAGCCTTTATTATCCTTTTGATGGGTGCAGGCTCTATGGTGATATTTTCTATTTCATTTCTGATATTGGTAATTTGTGTCTTCAGCTGTTTTTTCTTTGTCAGTCTTGCTAGGGGTTTGTCAATTTTATTACTCTTTCAAAGTAGCCACTTTCTTCTTCCATTGATTTTCTCTATTGTTTTTGTTTTCAATTTTTTTTGTAGAGACAGGGTCTCACTATGTCGCCTAGGCTGGTCTCAAACTCCTGGCCTTAAGCAAACCTTCTGCCTCAGCCTTCCAAAGTGCTGGCATTCAAGATGTGAGCCACTGCTCCTAACCCTAATTTCTATTCTTGTTATTTCTTTCCTTTTCCTCCTTTTGGGTTTATTTTGCTCTTCTTTTTCTAGGTTCTTCAGGTTGAAGCTTAGGTTACTAGGACTTTTCTTCTTTTCTAATGTAATCATTTCTGACACCAGCATACATTTTTGTCTCATCACTGTTTTAGCTGTGTCCCACAAATTTTAATATGCTGTATTTTCATTTTGATTCAGTTTTATTATTAATTATTAATAATTTTATTTTTTTTTGAGATGCTTTCACTCTGTCACCCAGGCTGGAGTTCAGTGGCATGATCATGGCTTACCGCAGCCTTGGCCTCCTGGGCTCAAGTGATCCTTCCATCTTAGCCTGCCCAAAGAAGCTGAGACTACAGGCTATACCTCCATGCCTGGCTATTTTTTTTTTTTTTTTTTTTGAGACAGGATCTTACTTCGTCTCCCAGGCTGGAGTGCAGTGTCACGATCTCGGCTCACTGCAGCCTTGACTTCCCAGGCTCAAGGGATCCTCCTGCCTCAGTCCCCCAACTAGCTAGGACCTGTTACAGGTGTGCGACACCATGCCCAGCTAATTTTTGTATTTTTAGTAGAGATGGGGTTTCATCATGTTGCCCAGGCTGGTCTTGAACTCCTGGACTCAAGTGATCTGCCTACCTTAGCCTCTCAAAGTGCTGGGATTACATGCATGAGCCACAGTGCCTGGCCAATTTTTAAATTTTTTATAGAGACAGGGCCTCACTGTGTTGCCCTGGCTGGTCTAGAACTCCTGGGCTCAAGCGATCCTTCCATCTCAGACTCCCAAAGTGCTAGGATTACAGTTGTGAGCTATAGTTTTATTAATTACATGTAGTATTATTTGAATTTCTTTGTAATTTCCATTTTTGACTCATGAGTTGTTTAGAAGTGTGCGGTTTACTTTCCAAGTATTTAAAGATCTAACTTTTGTTATTCTGTTGCTGATTTCTAGTTTGATTCCACTGTGGTCACTGAACATACTCTGTATGGTTTCAATGATATCAACATGTTGATATCAATTCTGTTTTGGGTGAAGTGTTCTACAAATGTCTATTAGGTAATTTTCTTTGCACTGAAATCTACTTTATCTGATATTAATAAAGCTATTCCTGGTTTCCTTTGCTTATAAATGTTTGCATAATGTATCTTTTCTCATCCTTTTGCTTTCAACCTACTTATATTGTTATATTTAAACTAAGACTTGAGGACAGCATACAATTGAGTCATGTTTTCTAATCTACCCTGCCAATTTCTTTTAATTGTATATTTAGATTTACATTCAATATAATCATGGATGATCATTTTATTATTTGTTTTCTGTTTGTTCTCTGTCATGTCTCTGAGTTCTTTTTCTGGTCTTCCAATCAATGTGTTTCTAAATATAGAATTCCATCTTCATCTATCCATGGTGATTTTGAGTATCTCTTTTGAATAGCATTTGAAATGGCTGTTCTAGGTACTACATTACATATATACATGACTTATTACTATGTACATATGGTTACATCTTACAGTTCAAGTAAAGTGTAGAAACCTTACTTGCCATTATGTCCCTGTACCCTCCCCCATTTATAAAATCGTTCCCTAAATATTTCCTCTGTGTATGTTTAGAACCATAAGAGACAGTGCTATAATTTTTGCTTTAACTGTTAAACATAATTTAGAAATCTCAAGAGAAGAAGAAAGTTGCATTTGTCCACATTTTAACTTGTTCACTGTTCTTTCTTTTTGACATTCCCAGATTCCTTCTTTTATCATTTCCTCTCTGTTGAGAGAACTTCCTGCAGTTATTCTTTTAGGATAGATCTAATGTTGACAAGTTCTTTTAGTTTTTCAACATTTGAGAATGTTAAATTTCCCCTTCTTTCCTGAAAGACACTTTTGCTAGATACAGAATTTTGGATTAATAGTTATTTTCATTTTGCATTTTGTCATTTTCCTTTGGGTCTCCATGGATTCTGATGAAAAACTAGCTGTCCTTCAAACAGACTTTCTTCCATGAATAATGTACCGCTTTGCTCTTCTGGCTGCTTTCAAGACATTTTCTTTGTTTTAGTTTTCAAAAGCTTGGTTATGGTGTTTTAGTATAGATTTCTTTGGGTTTATTCTGTTTTAAATTCACTCAGCTTCTTGAATCTGTAAATTCATATCTTTTGCAAAATTTGGGAGTTTTTGACCATTATTTCTTTGAACACTTTTCCAGACCTACTCTCTATTTCTAGGACTAGTGTTATCACAAATGTTAGATCTTTCGTTGTAGTCCAACAGGTCCCTGAGGTTCTGTTCCTTTTTTTCCCCTTTTTAGTCTATTTTCTCTCTATTGGATAATTTCTATTAATCTAATCTCATATTCACTGATTCTTTCCTCTTTGTCTCCTCATTTTATTGTTGGTTCCATCCATTGAGATTTTAAATTTGTTCTAAAATTTCCACTCAGTTTTTTTTTAATCTTCTCTTTCCTAAGATTTTCTATCTTCTCATTAGTTTCAAACATGTTTATTAATTGATCATTAAATAATTTTTATAGTGGCTGCTTTAAAGTTATTGTCAGATAATTCTAATATCTCTGTCATTTTGGTGTTGGCATTGATTTTTTTTTTCCAGTCAAGTTGAGATTTTGTTAGACAAGTGATTTGCAACTAAAACATGGACAGTTTGAGTATTATGTTATGAGATTCTGGATCTTACTTAAACTTTATGTTTTAGATGTTTTTTTCACTATGGCCACGTAGGGTAGAGTCTAAGTTACCCATTTGACTTCTGTTGACACCCAAGGGATGAAGGGGCTCCTCATAGCTGCTGGGTAGGGGAAGGAATTCTGACTCTGTACTAGGCTTCCACTGTTACCATCTTGGCTGGGACAAGTGGTGAGTCCCTTGCTACTTCTCCCCACATGACCTTTACTGATAATATGGGGGTAGTGGTGATGGTGGCCCCATTACTGCAGGGCAGTGATGAAAGTCTTCGCTCTCTACTCAGCCTCTTCTGGGACAGTACCGTAGAGCAGGGAAAGAGAGGGGGTGCTTCATTACTGCTGGGGAGAGGGTAAAGTCCACTCAATCTTTGCAGGCATGACTGGAAATGGCTGGAGTAGAGTAGAGCAGTTACTGTCTAAATGTTTCTTTTAGAAAGTATTAAAGACCAGAGGCCAGGTGCGGTGGCTCACGCCTGTAATCCCAGCATTTTGGGAGGCCAAGGCAGGTGGATCACCTGAGGTTAGGAGGTTGAGACCAGCCTGGCCAATATGGTGAAACCCCATCTCTACTAAAAATACAAAAATTAGCTGGGAGTCGTGGCAGGCACCTGTAGTTCCAACTACTTGGGAGACTGAGGCAGGAGAATTGCTTGAACCCAGGAGGCGGAGGTTGCAGTGAGCTGAGATTGAGCCACTGCACCCTAGCCTGGGTGGCAGAGTGAGACTCTGTCTCAAAAAATATATAATAATAATAATAAAGAAAGAAAGTATTGAAAACCAGAATACACTGCTGCAAAATGACTGTAGGGGACCAAAATATACCATCCCTAAAGATGTGTCTTGGGCAAAAGGATTATTTTAAACTGAGTATTTTGAGAAACTGAAGACACAGGAGAAGCTCTAAAAATGGAGAAGTTCCCTTTTTAAAGGGAAATTGACATCTATAAAGGACATTTCCATTTGTATGGGTGTTTTCCTCTCTGTACCATGAAGGATGATTCTAAATCACCATGGACTCTATTATCAACGCAAAGGGCACTAACTTAAATCTGCACAACAAACTTGTCTTGTGTGCAGTGCTTTTCTTGGTCACCTCCCATTACTGACCTCTTTTCTTTGTTTTAGTTCAAGATGGTATTTAAGTCTGAACTCAGAAGCCACCTCTTTGAGATTTACTCATTTCTCTGGGTATCTCCCATGTACATATGAAATATAAATGTTAATAAATTTATACATTTTTCTTGTTAATCTGTCTTTTGTAACAAAGATCTGCCCCAAGTAAGAACTATACAAAGTAGGGAGAAGACTATTTTTTCCTACTCTATAAAACATTGCTCCTTTCCTGGTCTTTGGGCTAGAGAGAGTAGGCTTTTGTTAGGACCTTTAAAAGTCTCTACTCTTTGGTGTTTCTGGGTTGCTGGCTCCAAATCTAGGATATATGTGGTAAAAAGAAAACCCAGAGAACTCACCACTGTGTTTGTTCCTTGGGTCCCAAAGTCCCTACATAGCCTGCTTTCTATTCTCTACCTTGTATAGTCTTCTTGATGTTGTTTTATAGATAATATCCATGGTTTTTAGTACTTAGCAGGAGAAATAGTGGAAAGTCCATTTACTCTATCTTCCTGGAAGCAGAAGTCCCAGGAGGAAAATGGAATCCATAACTGAAGAATGCTTTATAAAATACATTCTACAAGGCAAAAAGAAAATGACAAAAAGCAACAAGGGGCTGGGAGAGACAAACAAACCTGTAAAGAGACGTAAAATGATCTTATCAAAGTATATGTGGAGAGTTTTACATATATTTGCCAGAATTTCAAATGTTGATTCCATTGGGTCTCAAGTAATTTCCAAAGGTAGACTGGCCCTAACTCTTGATTTAGTCAACAACTGAAAACCAACGAGGGGAAGTAACTAAACAAAAGCCACAGAGTGACTCTAGGGCAGAACCAAAATGAGAGTTGAGGGTTTGTGACTTCCTGTCAGTACTATTTTCACCAGTAGGCATCTGTTCCATAATATTTTCAGAGGCGTGTGAACCAGAGAGACTTCATTTTGAGTGTGGGCTAGGAAAATGAGGCTGAAACTTGCTGGACTGTATTCTCAGAAAGTAAGGCATTCCGAGCCTCTAGATGTTTAAAGTTAAGGGAACAAATTAATAATGTTTACTAAAACAGACTCAGACTTGGGAGTGTCCAGATATCCTGATATCTGGAGAACAAAGGCATTCCTAATTTTGCTTTTAAGATAAAAATATCGATTCTTGGGCCGGACATGGTGGCGCATGCCTGTAATCCCAGAACTTTGGGAGGCTGAGGCGGGCGGATCACGAGGTCAGGAGTTTGAGACCAGCCTGGCCTACATGGTGAAACTCTGTCTCTAAAAAAAATAAAAAAATTAGCTGGTCACAGTGGTGCTTGCCTGTAGTCCTAGCTACTCAGGAGGCTGAGGCAGGAGAATCACTTGAACCTGGGAAGCGGAGGTTGCAGTGAGCCGAGATCGCGCCACTGCACTCCAGCCTGGGCAACAGAGTGAGATTCCATCTCAAAATAATAATAATAATAATAATAATAATAATAATAATATATAGATTCTTGCAAAATACAGTAATTAAGAAAATTAATCCTTTATCACAAACCCTTGTAGCAGAACACATCTCCCTATATATATAAGCATTGTACCTAGGGTGGGTGCATCCCTCCTCTTATTTTCAGGAATATCCTACTTTGTCTATGGAGGAGCTGTTCTTTCACCACTTTACTTACTTAATAAACTTGCTTTTGCTTTGCACTGCAGACTCACCCTGAATTCTTTCTTGCGCGAGATCCAAGAACCCTCTCTTAGGGTCTGGATCGGGACCCCTTTCCTTAATAATATGGTGGAGAGATGAGGAGTTGGACCAAATGGTCTTTAAGGGATATTTCCAACATCAACCTCTGGCAATTTCTATGACTGTCCTTAGCCCTTGCTTTCCCTCTTCCTATCTCATCTTTTTAAACCACTATGCTAAGGGTATATTAAAGAATGGAAATTGGAGGGAAAATGGAAGGGGGAAAAAATCTATCAATAGGACAAATATACTGAACCTTGTATTTTTGAGGACTGCTTCTTGTTACATATTTAGAAAAACACCTCCCATATGAACTGCAGCTGCACAATTGAACAGGCAGGGCTGTTAACTTGTTTCTAGTTCATTAGGCATGTGACCTTATGGCATTCTTAATACAGCTGAGCATGGAAAACTTTATTCAGGAGTCCTGCTGTTATCATTAACAAGGGCAACAGCACCAGCTATGGTGAAAGGAAATGCAATACAGTGGCAGAATGCCTGGGTTTCAACACTACATACTAGTTGTATAACTTTGGGCAATCATGTAACCTCTTTGTACCTCAGTTGCTTCATCTAAAATGGGGACAATAGCAATACTAAACCTTATTAGTTCTTTTGAGGAACACAGGTAAAAGCTTAGAAAGTGCCATCAGCTACTGCTGCAACTAATTGTTACATCGTTCATTGGAGGTCGGTTATAAATAAAATACTAGATAGAAGCTTTGGATATTTTATCACATTTAACACTAGAATAACCTTTTGAAGTACGGAGTATTGTTATCCCCACATTATAGATTAAGAAACTAGGATTACTTTATTATGAAAGTCATTTATAAATGTAGTATAAAATAGTATGATCTAAAAAGATAGACTACATTTTAAAACAACTTTTGAAGCCAAAAAGTAAAGTCACAAAAACATTTCCTAGCATATTCATAAAAATCAGCAAAGCACCCAGTATTAAAATACATTACCATGACAAATATTTATTACTTCTATGATTTAAATTCTCCCAAAACATTTAAAGGAGGAAAATAAAAACAACCTGTTAACTCTACAAGAATATTAGGCTTTGTGTCCTTGTGCTGTTTTTCGTAAAGTACTCCCACTAAGCTAACAGGCACACCAAGGATTCCTGTAGGGACTCCATATATACTATGTACTATATGCGGAAGAAGTGTTTCTCACTGTGCTGCAGCTAGAGTGAAGAATCAGAAACATAAGGTAAAATTAAAGCTTGATGAGGCTTTTCTAATTTCTTATGAAAAAATTCATTCTATTTCTAATTTTATTTATTTCTAGTTTTAAACTTTTGGAAGAGGAAAAAAAAACTAGTAAATAATTGCTTGCTTGATATTTGTCCACTGTCAGAGAGTATTGTGTAAACATTTTGTGATACAAGAATAAACATACACATTTTAAAATCTGTGCTTACCAAGGCAGAATGGTTCTAATATATTCAATGGTGAAAATTCATTCTCTAGGTTCATTACTTGAAGGCCCCTTCTGATTAGCAAGGACTTGATTGTCTCAGGACACGGTTTCAATAATAAGTAGCCAGTAACATAGAGAACATATCGAAACCAGCACAAAAGTGGAGTGGCAATTCTGCCATTGGGTGACTCAGACATTCGTTCAATTGTTGGAAAGAGCAGAAAGGCACGAATTACCTGCAATAAAGAAGCATACTTTGATGAGAGGTTTTCTTAAAGGATAGGTCCATTACTTATTGTCTCTTCTATATAGTAATGACAAATGAATGGGTTTTAGAATGACTAGAGATCTCTTCAGAGTGAGAAGAACCACCACTCACCACCCTCTCAGCCTATAACTAGGCAAAATCACAGCTCACTGCAGCCTCATCCTGAGTGCAAGTGATCCTCCCACCTCGGCCTCCCAAGTAACTGGGACTACAGGTGTGCACCACCATGCCTGGCTCATTTTTTATATTTTTGTAGAGAGAGGGTCTCCCTGTGTTGCCCAGGCTGGTCTTGATCTCCTGGGATCAAATGATTCTCCTGCCTTGGCCTCCCAAAGTGCTGGGATTACACACGTGACCCACCATGTCCAGGCCCCCTCATTTCTTTTTAATGCTAAAAAATATCCTATCATCTGAATGTACCGTAGTGTATTTATTCATTCACCTACTGAAGGAAATACTGGTTGCTTGTAAGTTTTGGCAATTATGAATAAAGCTGCTATAAATGCCCATGTGCACTAAGTTTTCAACTTCTTTGGGTAGATACCTACGAGCACAATTGCTGGATCACATGGTAAGAATATGTTTAGCTTTGTATGAAATCACCAAACTGTCTTCCAAGGTGGTTGTACTATTTTGATTCCCACCAGTAATGAATGAGAGGTGCTCCATATCCTGCTGTTTCTATATCCTTTTCAGCATTTATTGTCAGTGTTCTGAATTTTGGCCATTCTAACAGGTGTGGCGTTATCTCACTGTCATTTTAATTTACATTTCTTTGATGCCATATGATGTGGAGCATCTTCTCATATGTTTATTTGTCATCTGTATATCTTCTTTGGTGAGGTATCTGTTAAGGTTTTTGGCCCATTTTAAAATAGGTTTTATATTTTTCTTATTTTGAGTTTTCTGAGTTCCTTGTATATTTTGGATTAGTCTTTTATCAGATGTGTCTTTTCAAAGATTTTCTCTCAGTCTATGACTTATCTTTTTATTCTCTTGACCCTGCTTTCTGTAGAAGTTTTTAATTTTAATGAAGTTCAGCTTATCTGTTATTTCTTTCAGGGACTGTACCTTTGGTTTGTATCTAAAAAGTCATCATCATATCCAAGGTCATCTAGGTTTTCTCCTATGTTATCTTCTAGTCATTTTATAGTTGTGTTTCATATTTAGAGCTATAATCCATTTTGAGTTGGTTTTTGTGGTAAGTATAAGGTCTGTGTCTAGATTCATTTTCTTGCACATGGACGTTCAGTTGTTCCAGCATCATTTGTTATAAAGGCTGTTTTTGCTATACTCACTGCACTGTGCAATATATCCCAAAGGAAAAAACGTTATTACTTCTGTCTATTTGAGGCTTTGTACCCTCTAACATTCCTCTCCTCATTCTCCCACTGCCCACCACCCCAGACTCTAGTAACCACCATTCTACTCCCCACTTTATAAGTTCTGTTGTTTCAGATTCCACATATAAGTGAGGACATGCAGTATTTGTCTTCCTGTGTCTGGTTTATTTCACTTACCATAATATTCTCCAGGCCCATCTACATTGTTGCAAATGACAAAACTTCTTTTTTAAGACTGAGCAGTATTCCATTGAGTGCATACACATTTTCTTTATCCATTCATCTGCTGATGGACACTTAGGTTGATTCTGTTAACTTTGCTATTGTGAAGGGTGTTTCAATGGACATGGAGTACATACATCTCTGATATATTAATTTTATTTTATGGCACGATCCTGGCTCATTGCAGCATCCTATAAATTTTGATAAGTTGTGTTTTCATTTTCATTTAGTTCAAAATTATTTCTCAATTTATCTTGGAATTTCTTTTCTAATCCATGTTTAATCTCCATGTATTTTGGGACTTTCCAGTTATCTTTCCTTTATTGGTTTCTAGTAAAATTCCACTGTGGTCTGAGAGCAGGCATTATATAATTTCTATTCTAAATTTGTTAAGGTGTGCTTTATGGACCATAATGTGGTCTATCTTGGTGAATGTTCCACGTGATCTTGAGAAGAATGTGTATTCTGCTCTTGTTGGATGAAGTAGTCTATAGACGTCAATTATATCAAGTTGATTGATGGTGTTGTTGAATTCAACTAGGTCTTTACCCATTTACTGCCTGCTGGATCTGTCCATTTCTGATAAAGGGGTGTTGAAATCTCCAACTATGATAGTGGATGCATATATTTATGCTTGTAGTTCTATCAGTTTTTGCCTCACATAGTTTGATGCTTTGCTGCTAGGCACATGCATGTAAAGGACTGTTATGTCTTCTTGGAGGACTGACCTCTTTATCATTACGTAATTACCTTTTTTATTCTGGATAACTTTCTTTGCTTTGAAAAGTCGGCCTTGTCTGAAATATAGCTACTCCTGTTTTCTTTTGATTAGTGTTAGCTTGGTATATTTTTCTCCATCCATTTACTTTTCATTTACATGTGTCTTTATATTTAAAGTGGGGTTCTTGTAAACAACATACAGTTGAGTCTTGTTTTTTGATCCACTCTAACAATCTTTTAATTAGTGCTTTTCTTTTTCTTTTCTTTTTCCTTTTTTTTTTTTTTTTTTGAGACAGGGTCTCACTCTGTCACAGCAGCCTTGACCTCCCAGGCTCAAGGAGATCCTCCCACTTCAGCCTTCTGAGTAGCTGGGGCTACAGGCACACACCACCACGCCTGGCTAATTTTTCAAATTTTTTGTAGAGATGGTCTGTCTCCCTATGTTGTGCAGGCTGGTCTCAAACTCCTGGGCCCAAGTGATCTTCCTGCCTCAGCCTGCCAAAGTGCTGGGATTACAGGTGTGAGCCACCACACCAGGCCTATTTGGTGCACTTAGACCACTGATGTTCAAAGTGATTACTGGTAGTTAAATTAATATAGACCACATTTGTCATTATTTTCTATTTTCATCTTCCACATATTTTCTGCCTTTTGTGGTTTTAATTGAGCATTTTATGTGATTCCATTTTCTCTCCTTTCTTAGCATGTCAGTTATACTTAAAAAAAAAAAATTCTTCTAGTGGTTGCCCTAGATTTTGCAATATCCATTTACAACTAGTCCAAGTCCACTTTTTTTTTTTTTTTTATTATACTTTAAGTTTTAGGGTACATGTGCACATTGTGCAGGTTAGTTACATATGTATACATGTGCCATGCTGGTGCGCTGCACCCCCAAGTCCACTTTTAAATAACACTATACCACTTTATAAGTAGTGTATCATACAAAAACAAAATAATCCTAAGTCTTCCCTCCTGCTCCTTGTGTTGTTGTCATTCATTTCACTTATATGTAAGCATACATATAACATATAAACATACAAAATCGAAAGCACTGTTGCTATTATTATTTTGAACAAACTTATCAGTTAGATCAATTAAGAATAAGAAAAATGAACATTTTAGTCTTTGTTTATTCCCTCTCTGATGCTCTTCTTTTCTTTATGGAGATCTGAGTTTCAAACCCCTATTATTTTCTTTCTGAGTTTCCTGGATCTGAAGTTTGATGTCTGACATTAATTTAAGAAATGTCTCTGTCATTATTGTTTGAAATATTTCTTGTTTCTTTCTCTCGTTCTTTTCCATCTAGTATTCCCCTTATGCATATGTTTCACCTTTTGTAGTTGTCCTGCAGTCCTTATTCTTTTTTTTTCTTTTCCCAGTCTTTTTCTTTGCTTTCCAATTTTGGAGGTTTATGTTGAGACATTCTCAGGCTCAGAGACTCTTTCTTCAGCCATGTTCAATCTACTGATAAGCCCATCAAAGCCATTTTTATTTTACGGTGTTTTTACTCTCTAGCATTTCTCTTTGCTTTTTCCTTAGGATTTCCATCTCTCTTCTTACATTGTCTACCTATTCTTGAATGATGCCTTCTTTATCTGTTATAGCCATTAGTATATTAATCATAGTGGATTTAAATTCCTCATCTGATAATTCCAGAATCCCTATCTGTCTGGGTCTGAAGCTTGCTCTATTCTCCTCAGATTTTTTTTTTTTTTTTTTTGCCTTTTGGTATGCCTGGTAATTTTTTCTTGGTAGCTGGACATGATGTACCAGGTAAAAGGAACTTTTATAAATCAGCTTTTAGCAATGTAGCAGTTAGGTGGGGGAAAGGGGAGGGGAGACATTCTATCATCCTATGATTAAGTCTCAGTCTTTTAGTAAGCATATGCCTCTGGTGTACAAACTTCTAAGTGTTTCCTCAGTATTCTTCTCCCCTCTTTGGTAGGACAGGATGGCTAGAGTTGTCTGGAGTTTAGTATTTCCCTTCTCTGATGCAGAAGGTTAGAGCTGACAAGAGTTAGGTATTTCCCTTCCCTTGGGTCAGGCTCTAATAATACCCCAGCAGGTTAGGATTTAGCTAACTAATTTCTCCTGGGGGCAGACCTTGTTAAGAAGAGCACAGTGCTCTGGCATATTTCAAAATGGTTCATTTCACCTTCCCCCTGCCAGAAGCACATAGGGATTTTTCTGCAATATTTACTTGGAGAATCTAATTGAGCTCATGTAGGTAAGTCTAACAAAATTGTGGTGTTTCCCCATGAGTGGGTCCTCCTGGAGTTTAAAACTTTCAGAGTTGTTCATACTGAACCTCCTATAATTCATCAATTACAGCTCAGGTTTTTCTACCATGGCACTGCTTCCTGTGGGGGTTTCTGTTTGTGACTGCATGCTCTAGTAACTTGTGGCTCTCGGTATTTGCCAGTCTGTCTCTCTAGTCTTTTGGGGACAGTGGTTTTCCCTGTGTCCTCCCCTATCCTGGGTCCGATAAGAATTGATTTCTCAGTTTGCTTAGCTTTTTACTTGTTAGGGTTGGAGTGGCAACTTCTAAGCTCCCTACATGTGGAACTGGAAACCAGAAGTCCTAATAATATTTCTGTATATGTCTTTTGGTGCATGTATGCATGTACTTCTGTTGGCTGTATCACTTCAAAGTAGAAACACTGGGTCATATAGTAGGCATATATTCATCTTTAGTAGATAATTACAAAGAGTTTTCCAAAGTAGTTCTACTAATGCTCTTGCAACAGTGTACAAGGCACACAAAGATTTCTATTTCTCCATATCCTTATCAACACTTGTTACATTTTGTTTTTCTAATAGACATCTTAACAGGTGTTAGGTGATATATCATTGTGGTTTTGATTTGCATTTCTCTGATAATTAGTGATGTTGAGCACCTTTTCATATACCTGTTGGTCATTTGCATTTTTTTTGAAGAAATGTCTATTCAAGTCCTTTGCCCATTTTTAAATTTCTAAGACAGTAGAATAGATTTCAAGTGTTCTTATCACAACAAAAGATAAGCATGTAAGGTACTGCATAAGTTACTTAGCTTGATTTAGTCATTCCACAATATATGCTTATTTCCAAACATCATATTGTACCAATCTATATACTTTCTATTTGTCAAATAAAAATATATATTAAAAAATAAGATATAATTGAGGCTAATAACTAATCAAGTAAATGACTGAGCATATGTATGTTAATTAGCTGTAATACATGATTTATAATAAATGATCATAACAATTTAAGCAATAAATAATAATTGAATCAAATATGTATGATGGTAGTAAGTCACAAGTCCTATGACGGGGCAGATAAAATAATAAAAGAGGACTAGAAATTGCTAGGGGTGGTGGGATAGTTTTAAATAGGGTGTTCAGGAAAGGCTTTGATGAAAGGTGACATTTGTGCAAAGGCAGTTAGGGGGTGAGCTAAGAGATGCTTGGAAAAATAAATTTTGTGGGGAGAGGGAAGAGCATGTGCAGAGGCCATAGAAAGCTAAAGTGGTGTGTTTGAGTAAGAGCCAGGTGAACAGTATTGCTGGAGCAGAGTACTTGAAGAAGAGAGCAGTTCAAGTGTTTACTAAAATGTCCTCAATGATTTAAAGAATATAAATGATTAATTCAGTTAATACCAAACTAGAAGAATGTACCACACAGATTCCAGACTGGTTATGTAACCCATAGTACATAAGGAACTTCAGATTGATCAAATCAGCTGGCAGAAACAGGAAACAATCCATTACTTTTATAAACGATCCTTTACTGTGACCCATGTTAAGCAAAACTGCATGTAAGGGAAACTCTAAAAATATATAAGCAACCACAGGGTTATATTTGATTGATCTATATCAATAACAAATTGAGAATTAAAATGCAGTCTGAAATAATGGGAATGGACCAAAACAATAAGGAAGTTCTAATATGTACATTGAATGCGTCACTGCCTTGTAAAAATATAAGAAGACCAAAGACCTTATCACAACTAATACTTAGTTGATGAGACTGGTTTTCCTCTCTTGCCTTTGGAGAACAACAATTATTACCTGCTGGGTGACACTTTTCCTAGATATTGTAATGATAATTTCAATGAAATTTGCAGTCCAAATTTGATAAATCACAGTAATAAAAATTTTTCATTCTTCATATTGGTAAAAAAAAAAATCACCTAAGTCAAGGAAGTATGCCTAATTTGATAACACAGCTGTGTGGTGAAGGTTTCCAAATCTGTGTACACGACCAAACATTTTCTTATGTTACTATCTCATTAAAAAAAGAACTCCCATGTTAGCCAATTCATTCTATCCTAAGAAAACATTTTCGCATATTTCACATTCTCTTCTGTTATCTACCAGAATGAACTTTTGATAATGAAGCACAACCGTGTTTTCTTGAACAGTACAGGAAGGTAAATATGCACACTGGGAATTTTTATACTGGATACATTTGCAGGGGTTAGAGGAAAGTATTTTGATGCTTATTTTTCTTGAATTTATTATTATTGTTGTAATCATTTTTTAGAAAAGGAGCTAAGAAACAATTTGAGGTATGGCCACAAGGTAAGAAGTATGGTGCTTAGGTGTGGATTGTGCACAACCTGTTTCATTAAATAGGCTTTAAAAAAACAGTAAATCTTCAAAATCCTTGAAAGACTTCACCTGTTTATATAGCTTATTACAGATGCATCCATTTTTCTGGGAGAGCAGCAATGGTGCCTATGTGTTATGACTAAGTGAAGCTGCGACAAATAGTACTTCAACATCTTCAAAAAAACATTATCACTGCCACCCTGCCTATTTGTTTATTAGTTTAACCCACCCAATGTATTTATGGCAGGGTGCTTCTCCACCGTACAAGCAGAAAACAAACAAAAAAATAGCACACAGTTTCTCTTTTTATGTGACTGCAATATTTGTAAGGCATGTCTTAGCCAACATGCAATGTCAACCAGACAGCCTTCAAAGATAAACTTGCTAGCTGTCAAAACATAGGTCTAGAAGTAATCCTAGTTTAGTTTATCTCCTCTTCCCATAAGGCCATGTGTTCTTCTCCTTAGGATCACACTGGAAACACAAGCTTAGTAAGCTTATTTACTAAGTATGCAGTTTATAAACTGCAAATGCCATTATATTTTAATCAAGAGTTTGCTTTTTGAGATTTTCTACTCTGTCTTAAAAACTTCATATGTCAGAAAGATAAGAATATGCCTCGCAGGGAAGTACTTGGATTAACAGTAGTAGTGATAGCTTACTATTTTCTAGGTACTACACTTATGCACTTTATATATATTGTTTCATTTAATACACATAAAAACCTTATGAAGTTCCCTCATTCCACTGAAGAGAAAACTGAGGTTCAGCCACAAAGTGACAGAGATATGAATTAAAGCAGGATGATTTCTGAATCCATGCCATTAACCTTTATATATACTATATATTTACGTACAAAATAAGTTATTTGTAATTGTTATTGTTTGGAGGCAATTTTCTTATGGTTGAACCAATTACTACTATTATTGTTAGATATGGGCTAATCTTTACAAGTGTCTCAAATCATTTAGCTCCAGAAATAATTAAATCCATATCCTAAGAAGTAAAGCATGAGATCTTTCAACTACTGATTACTGAAACAAAATTATGCCATTTTAGTATGTTTCAGTTAAGATGGTACTCAAGAAACTAACCACTTTTGCCATTTTCCATTCATGTGAATTATATTCAGACCTCTGGGGCAGAGATTTTTCTACACTTTAATTACCTGAATGTGAAAAAAAAAGCCATTTAATACTTTTAATCTTCATGTCACGGTTGTTAATAATAAGGAATGTTTGCATATTTGCAGAGGTCTTTACATAACTTATAACTGCACAAACACCTGAAACTTAGCTTCAATATCTTCCTATAGCCCATTCTTCTCAAGCTTTTATCATTTTATATTCTCTGCACTTATTTTATTTTGGATGCAAAATGCTGTTCTCCTCAGCTTGAAATCTTGTGGAAACCACTTCGTTTTGGGCTCTTCTGATTTAGAATCACTGACAGCTCATTCAGAAAACAATGATGCTCACAGGCTCACTGCAAATTATTCTTTACCTGCTGCTCTGCAGTACAACTATCTCTTAGGAAGCACCTGTTATTTTGAATTAAACAGTGTTCTCCAGGTAGCCTCAGAATTCAGTGAATAGTGAATAGCAAACCTTAAGGTCTATAGCTACAAAATTCTCACATGACTACTATGGCCTTTGGCAATAACAGGCCTTTCTCATGGTTCCTAGAGGTAAAGCTACACAGAATGTGATAGGATGGCTCTGCTGATCAAGAAACTGCTACTTGGCATAAAGTTGGAGCTGGAGTGCTATGTATGGGTCAGGAAGCACACACACACCCCACCACTATCTTTGGCAATGGCACTGGGACTGTTCTAAGTTAAAAACCCCAATATTTAAAAGCGCAGGCCTAGCATGACTGGGAGGGGGAGCCATTCCTTAGATCTACTGGTTGTTCATTCATTTGTTCATTTGTTCATTCATGAAGATATACTGAGTACCTACAGTATGCCAGGTGCTGTGCTGAGTGCTGGAGACACAGGGGTGACAAGACAAAGTCCCTGCCTTCAGAGATCATAAAGTCTAGTGGGAGAGATATTTAGAGAGGTATCAGGACATGGGAAATGAAGAGTAAAATAGAAACATACTAAATAGGCACTCAAAATTTCTTCTCTATAAGGGTCAAGGAACCTTTGAAAAGCAGCTCAGAAAGAAATTTTCTTGACAAACACTGAGTACACAAGCAAAGTGCTGATGATAGAATACAGGGTTATTCAGTGAAACCAGTAAAAAAATTATTCCCTATTTAACTTTACTAAAAGATATTGTGAAACATGTATACTTCAGTTCCATATACTAAAATGCCATTTTATACCAGTACTAAGATGAGGCAAAGGTATCCGTGACAGGGTTTCAGGCCAAGGATGAATAATATAATGCAAAGGCCCATAGCCAGAGGCATGTATAGGGCACACAGCACAGCCCCAGCCACAAGGGATTTCTGCCACAGAAGCTGCCCCAGGACACTCTCAGCGTCTAGGAAGTCAACTGGAAGGCAAAGAGTACAGCTTTCTTGTTCAATTTTATGTGGTAAGAAGCAAATCCATCAGTTAGGGCAGCTAAGACCCCATGAGATAGAGACTAAACCTTGGGAATATAAGCAGTTAACTCACAGAGAAAAGGTTAGGCCCAAATGGCTGAAGTGTATAAGTCCCCATATCAGCTTTGATAACAGAACAGGTTAGGATCTGTCCTGCTTAGTTCAGGAAAGAAGACATATCTGATGTTTATTTCTTCCTCACAGGTCTCTGAAGGGGGTTTCCTCCTCCCATTTACTCCCAGACAGAACAGGTTCATAAGGGTAGCATCCCTCCTGGTGGTACCATGGTATCTCCCAGACTCAGCAATAACCGAAATTTAGTTCCTGATTTTTACGTCTGCCTTACTAAACTTTTTTTTTTTTTTTTTTTTGAAACAAAGTCTCATTCTGTCGCCCAGACTGGAGTGCCATGGTGCAATCTCAGCTCACTGCAACCACCACCTCCTGGGTTCAGGCAATTCTTCCACCTCATCCTCCGTAGTAGCTGGGATTGCAGGCACATGCCATCACACCCAGCTGATTTTTGTACTTTTAGTAGAGACGGGGTTTCACCACATAGGCTAGGCTGGTTTCGAACTCCTGACCTCAGGTGATCCACCTGCCTCAGCCTCCCAAAGTGTTGGGATTACAGGCGTGAGCCACTGTGCCCGGGCTGCCTTACTAAACTTCTGAGGTCTCAGCTTCTGCAGAGCTCAGAGAAAGGACAACAGACTCTGGGGAGACTCTTAACTTCCCTAATGGGACTGGATAGCATTGCTGATAGCCTTTGTCCATCAAAAGTGCCTCCACGGTATCTGAATATGCTCTATGATGAAACTGAGGATCATATACTCTGTGTTAGTCAGTAACCAAGAAATTCACCTAACTCAATGGCTCTAGACAGTTGTTCAGTAAGTACAGCTAATATTTCCAATTGATAGAACTAACTGACGCTTTTCAAATGCATACAGCAAAGTTTGCATTAAGTAATTAAGCACATTTGTCACCATTAAATCAAAGACTAACTTTGTCATTCTACCAAAAAGACACATGCACTTATGTTCATTGTTGTGCTATTCACAATAACAAAGGCATGGAAACAACCCACATGCCCATCAGTGGTAGACTGGATAAAGAAAATATGGTACATATACTCCATGGACTACTATGCAGCCATAAAAAAGAATGAAATCATGTCCTTTGCAGCAACATGGATGGAGCTGGAGGCCATTATCCTAACCAAATTAATGCAGGAACAGAAAACCAAATGCTGCATGTTCTCACCTGCAAAAGGAAGTTAAACATTGAGCACATATGGACATAAATATGGGAACAATAAACACTATGGACCACTTGAGGATGGGGGGATTGAAAAACTACCTATTGGGTACTATGCTCACTACCTGGGTCACAGGATCTGTATCGCAAACCTCAACATCATGCAATATTCCCGTTTGACAAACCTGCACATGTACCCCCGGTATCTAAAATAAAAGTTGAAGTTTTTTTAAAAGCAGTCTGATTTTGAAATAATTCTATAATATTCTCAATTAAGTTCCACCTTTCTTTTTAAAGGTAAAAAGCATATCTTTTATTTTCAACATTGTAAAACCTTTATGTAAAGGTTTCCTGGAATGTAGTTTCCACTAGTAAAATATAATTACTGCATGAAAGATGCACATTCTGTTAGGGACAGTACCCTGTGACTGGTTCCAGTTAGTCCTCCTATAGATCACCATAAAATATGTGGTTTCAGACTTTTATTGTAAGGTAAAAATGTTTCCTTCCTTCTTTTGAAAAATTGCTACAAGCCAATGAGGAGACTATGAAACAAACGTAACTTCTATCTTCAATGAATCTAGGAGATAGTTGTAACAATAAGCCACAATACACACATATGCTCTCCCTCAGTCTTATGAGAGTAAATGCCCTGCAAATGCATTTATTCTATTTACACATTTTTAACTTATTCTAATAACTTAAAAATATAATTCCCATTCATCCATTGATTTCAGGGGGAAAAACTTCCTTACTATAAAGAAACAACAGATTGACAGATATTAGGTAAAGCCTCTAACATGAAAGACAGCACAACAAATATAAAACTCAGAGGAAAAGACAATGAAGAATCAGACGAAATTGTAATTTGCTTAGAGCTAAGAGAAAATACTGTATCAATGATGAGTGGGATATAAAAGAAACACGCAGTAAACAAAGTGGTATTCTTTTTTTATTTTTAAATTTATTTAGTTTTATAGAGACAAGTTCTTGCTCTGTTGCCCAAGCTAGAGTGCAGTGGCAATGATAACAGCTCACAGCAGCTTCAACCTCCTGGGCTCAAGTGATCCTCCTGTCTCAGCCTCCTAAGTAGCTGGAACTACAGGTGTGCGCCACCACACCAGGCTAATTTTTGTATTTTTTGTAGAGACAGGGTCTCACTATGTTGCCCAGGCTGGTCTTGAACTCCTGACTTCAAGAAATTCTTCCACTTTGGCTTCCCAAAGTGCTAGGATTACGGGGATGAGCCACTGTGCCTGGTCAAGACAGTAGTATTTAAAAAAAAAAATTTATACTTCAATTTAAAAATATCAGTGAAAAAGACTGAGTGGAAAAAAATTCCACTGAAAGCATAGAGATAAACAGGTGGAAAGAAAATCAGACACCCAACCCAGGAAAACTAATGTCCTATCAAGTGAGTTCTAGAAAGAAAAGACAGGGAGGGAGGGAAGGGAACATGACAGAAATAATGCATGAAAGTTTCCCCCAAACTGAACAAGACGGATACACAGGTCTTCCTACTGAAATAGCCATCAAGTGTCAATGGCAATGTATTAGTTTCCAGCAGCTGCTGTAACAAATTGCTACAAATGGGTGGTTTCAAATAACAAAAATTTACACTCTGGCAGTTTTGGAGGCCAAATCAGTATCACTGAACAAGACAGATACACAGGTCTTCGTACTGAAATAGCGATCAAGTGTCAATGGCAATGTAGTAGTTTCCAGCAGCTGCTGTAACAAATTGCTACAAATGGGTGGCTTCAAATAACAAAAATTTACTCTCTGGCAGTTTTGGAGGCCAAATCAGTATCACTGGGCTGAAATAAAGATGCCCTGGCTGCACTGTGTCAAGAAGCTCTAGGGGAGAATCCATTCCTTGCTTCTTCCAGCTTCTGATGGTTGCTGATATTCCCTGACTTATGGCCTCATCATGCCCAGAGTCTCACTTTCTGATAACTCAGAAATTCACCAAGTTGACAGTTACAGCTACATGATTTGAGCTTGCCTCACTCATTCTAAGCTGTATTCTTTGGAGAGAAAACAACGACAACAACAACAACAACAACAACAGCAACAACAAAAACCAGGCACCTTCAATGTGAAACTCATAAACACATGCATCAGGTCAATCTGGTTCTCCACCTTAAACTCTAGTTTCACTGTACAGTAACAGCCCATGTTTCCAGTGTAATATAATAATGTGAGAAGCTAATAAGTGCATGCCACTGTCTGCTACTTCTCTGTGACTATTATTTCTCTGAGACATGTATAAATTAATAAAAGCTCCAATTTTATATTTTCTTATCTTTTTTAACAAAAGAAACATTTTCATCTTCACTTTGTTTTTATTTAACCAATGATTTAAAATGTGAAATCCAAACTTGTACTAGGTTGACTTGGGCCCATCTCCTTTTTCTAATTACAGTCAGATCCTGTATAATTGTTCAAATACAGGCGACTGGAATAATCTCCATGGAAATACAACTATCACTGGCTGATGGGATACATTTTCAAAAAGTACACATCTATATGTAGCTATCTGGATTTTACAACATACAAAATAAATTCAAGAAGTTGGCTTAATGGCAGTTTTTACTTCTTCGTTTGTTGGTGGGTATAAGGGTGTATTTAATGTTTCTTCTGGACCACAGGATATAGAAGAGTGTGGGGAGGGCAAATGCAATGAAAGTTTCCCTGTCTTATTACTTCACACCTTAGTCACTTTGCTCCAGTCACACTGGCCTTGCTGTTTCTCAAACAGGCATACTCACGGCCTTAAAGCCTTTGTAATAACTATTCTGCTGTTTAGAACCCTTGTACCCTAGATAGCCATGTGGCTAACTCTACCTCCAGCAGGTCACTTCTATGATGCCTAATAAACATCTTGCTTAAAATTGCAGTTACAACAGGAGCCCGACTTAAGTGGCTCCCAGTGGCCAAATATGGAATAATTTTATCACCAAAATCAATATGGTAATGAATCATATACCTTTAATAAATCCGAAATTCATAAGTCCATGCTGATAAATACATATATACAAATTAAACATACATAAGAAGGAAGGTTCTTGCTTATAAAAGAATATTGAGTTCTAATGGGTTTATGTGAAGAAAGTACTACAGTTAGAAAATCTTGGTAAAGATTGGATCAGGCAAGGATAAATAATGGATGTTGAATCTAGGAGAAAATTTCGTTGAAGAGGAGGATATTGACATGAAAAAAAAGTGCCTCCCCATAGACTCTTTATTCATTGCTAAGAAAAAGTAAAGTACGCAGGCTGGGCGCGGTGGCTCATGCCTATAATCCTAGCACTCTGAGAAGCTGAGGCAGGCAGATTGTCTGAGCTCAGGAGTTTGAAACCAGCCTGGGCAACACGGTGAAACCCGTCTCTACTAAAAAAATAAAAAAAAATTAGCCAGGCCTGGCAGCAAGTGCCTGTAATCCCAGCTACTCGGGAGGCTGAGGGAGGAGAACTGCTTGAACCCAGGAGGTGGAGTTTGCAGTGAGCTGAGATCATGCTACTGCACTCCAGTCTGGGTGACAGAGCAAGACTCCAACTACCCTCGCCACAAAAAAAAAAAAAAAAAAAAAGGAAAAGAAAAGAAAAAGTAAAGCATGCAGTGGAGAAATTCTGCATAACATCTCGATTAGGTGATTGAAATTAATATCACCAATGATGAGCAGCTGGATGTCATGTGCCTGCAGGTGACCTACTCTGAGAAGGACATAGCATCACCTATGAGGTATTATTTTACAGCTAAGAATGCAAAACCTTAATCTAGTCAAAAGGAAACATGAGACAAATACAAAATCAGGATAATCTCTTTTTAAAAAGGAATTATATTCTTCAAAATGTCAGTTTTATGAAAAAACAAAGGAATATGCTTGAGATGTTTCATACTAAAGGAGAATAAAGGAACATGAAAATTCAAGGCAATACCTGATTCTCCAGACCATAGTGGAAGAGGGAAAATGCTATCAAGGACATTAGTGGGCCAAATGACAAAATGGGAATATGCAAGGTAGATTAAAGTATTACATCAATATTACATTTACTGACATTGATAACTGTACTGTGGTTGATTAAGAGAATATTCTTATTCTTAAGAACATCTTAAGGAGGTCTTTAGGGATAAGGGGCAATAATATATTCAATTTATCCTCAAACGGTTCAAGAAGAAATATTGTGTGTCTGTGTTTGTGTGTGTGTGTGTGTGTGTGTGTGTGTGTGTGTGTAGGGGAGCAAATAAAGCAAATGAGGTAAAATATTAACAACAGGTAAATCTGGTAAAAGTGTATCTCATGTTGTTGCACTATTCTTAGTCTTACAACTCTTCTCTAAGTTTGAAATTATTTCCAAATAAAAAGTTTTAAAAATCACTTGCAGTCCACCACTGCCCTCTATCCCCCAGCCATGGTGCTTCCAATCCCCTTTATCTTGCTCCACTCTTTATATCAAGGCAGTATCACCTTTGAACATATTAATTTACTCATTTTTATGCTTATTACCATCTCTCCTTAGTAAACTGTAAATTCTGCATAAGCAGTTTGTTTTTTGTTTCTTTTCCTATTTTGTTCACAGATGGATCCAAGACCATAACAGGTGCCAGTAACAGTGCAGGGCACAGAGCAGACTTGATGAATGAAAGGCTGGCTGAGAGGCAGCCAGTCCCCTGGGACACTTGCCTCATCCAATACCCTCAAGCAACTTCTCCATAACCCCATCATGGCCTGGAGGTTTATTCTGTGTAGAAATAGAAGAAAGAGGCTCCTGATCTGGAGACACAGGGCACAGAAAAAGGCAGGGGAAAAGGAACATCATAAAAACAATATAAGTGAAAGCCAAAATACTAAATGCTAAGACATTCTCCCATGCAAACTCCAGCTCCTTGAGCTGTTTGCTTCAGGATGCTGTGTGTTAGATAAGTGGTTTGAAAATGTTTTTCTGAAGAGACTTAATGGCTCCAGAAAAAATATGTACACTGGAGAATACCACACCAAAAAAAGTTGGATACCTGTCCAAATTACCCTGTAGTACAGCTGACCAGCTGACCAAACCCACTCCCATACAAAACCTCCTGATAGTTTTGGTGCCTCATTCTTTTTTTCTTTTTTTTTTGAGACGGAGTCTCACTCTGTCACCCAGGCTAGAGTGTAGTGGCGCGGTCTTGGCTCCGGGCAACCTCCTCTGCCTCCCAGGTTCAAGCAATTCTCCTGTCTCAGCCTCCCAAGTAGCCAGGATTACAAGTGTGCGCCACCATGCCCAGCTAATTTTTGTATTTTTAGTAGAGACGGGGTTTCACCATATTGGTCAGGCTGGTCTCGAACTCCTGACCTCAGGTGATCCACCCACCTCGGCCTTCCAAAGTGCTGGGATTACAGGTGAGAGCCACCGTGCCCAGCCTGGTGCCTCATTCTTAAATATGAGTGGATAATGAATAAGCACTAGACATTTGAGGAAAGCTTCACTTACAAGAGACAGATCAGTACTTTTTTTAAAAGCATGAAGAAAGGAATTCAGAATGAATACAGACAATGCAGGAGCCCAAAAACTCTAAAAAATGTTTTCCTGAGAGAGAGAGAAAGAGAGACCCATGAAGTAAAAATAAAAAGGATATTACAAAAAGGAAGAAAAGAACAAGAAATTCCTTAGAAACTATTTGCATAGATGCCAAAATCAAAAGTTTAATTAGATGAATTGGAAGATAAAGTAGGGAAAATATCCCCTATTTCTCATTGCAAAAAACTAAAAATTGAAAGAAATGGATAATGGAAAAGAAAATAAATCAAGAAAATCTTTTCTGAAAGTATAACACACAAATAATGAGAAAACAAGTAGAGAAAAAAATACAAGAGTTTTCAGTGTGTAAGTATGCCAGTTTCTGGATTAAAAAGGATAAATAGTCCAAGGAATATCATCAGAAAATATAATACTGACAATAAAGTGAATATTCTAAAACTTTCCAGAGGAAGAAAACAGTTCACAAAAATAATTAAAAACTTGAAATGACATACTTCTCAATAGCAGAGCTGGAAGAACTTAAAGCTCAGCACCAGCTGCTAATGGTGTTGATAGGAGGTGAAGATGGCAGGCTATCTTGTTGGAGAGCAATCTCCTTGCCAAGAACAATTAGAAAAGTTGGGAAAGTTTTTTAAAGTCCCCTTGAAGGCATCAGAGGCAGAGGAGATTTGAAGGCTAAAATGCTAGGGAAAAAGGAACTTCAGAGAGGAGTGCTGAAGTAGCTTTTCTTTGTTATTTGCTGATTTGCAAGCAGTAGCTAAGAAGCCAAGAAGCTGAAGAGAGTTTCTGAAAAATCTTGTGAGCTTGAAGGAAAAACCTGGGAATTGTGTGCCCATAAAAGAGAAGGCACTCTAGGCTTTCAGTGGAAACTATTAAAGGACTATACCCTAGAAGTAACGATGAACTGGAAATAGGCCAGCCCCTCCAAAGATAGCTTTGATTCAACCCAATTCCCAATGGCATCAAAGTGACCTACCCTAAGAATAATTGCAAAAACAAAGGTAAATCCTCCCTGGAGGAAGATAAGATTCTAATATTGTTTTACTAATTTTTCACATATAATGTCAGGTATTCAGTTAAAAAAAATACTTGCCAAGCTGTGATGGTCAATTTTACATGTCAGCTTGACTGGGCCACAGGGTGCCCAGATATTTGGTCAAACAATTTGGATGTGTGAGGGTGTTTCTGGCTGAGATTAACATTTGAATGGTACACTGAGTAAAGCATATTGCCCTCCCTAATGTGAGTGAGCCTCATCCAATCAGTTGAAGGTCTGACTAGAACCAAAAGGTTTAATAAAAGAGAATTCCTTCTGCCTGACCACCTTCAAGCTAGGACTTTTTTTTTTTTCTGTCTTCAGACTCAAAATGAAACATCAGCTCTTCCTGGGTCCTGAGGCTGCCAGCCTTTGGACTGGAATTAAACCATCAGAAATTCTGGCTCTCAGACCTTTGGACTGAAACTACAATTACATCATTGGCTTTCCTAGGTCTGCAGTTTGCTGACTACAGATCTTGGGATTTGTCAACCCCCATAAACATGTGAGCCAATTCCTTATAATAAACCTCTTTCCATGTGCATACATCCCATTGGTTGTTTCTCTGGCAAACCTGGACTAATACACAAGCATACGGATAGACAAGATAATATAACCAAAGCAAAGGAAAAAGCTGAAGTAGGAATGCAACCACATGAGACTTAGATGTTGGAATTATCAGACACAATCTTTATTTATTTTCATGTCAAATATATGATCTCTGAACTTTTATAAAAGTAATGATAATTTTAAAAATTGTTGATGGTACAAAGGAGAATAAAGTCAGATAGGGAGTTTAAAATAACTATAATATGATCAAGATATTAAATGACAAGATGGAGATTTGCAGGAATTAGTAATTATAACAATAAAATGGAAATTTTATAGGCAAAAAATAGAATAACTAAAATTGAGGATGTAACAGATGAGTTTAAAGGTGTTTATACATAGCTCAAGTGAGGATTAGTGAAGTAGAATGTTAAGTCAGAAGAAATATCTAGAACGAGGCAGGGAGACAAACAAAAGAGTTACTGTATGCAGATTATGCTCTAGTTAAAAGGAAAGCTGAAACATCTAACAGGAAAAATCAAAGAAATATGCAATGCCTATAATATAGGGTAGAATATAGAAGAATTATGAGAAAAAGTGTTACCAAAGGAAGGACAGAGTAAAAATGACTGGGAAGAATCAGGAAAGAGTTCACACAGGAGCTCATGTTTGAGATGATTTTCCAGAAGAACAGGAGGCATCAGTTAGATGGTGTGGGACAAAGCAGAAAGGAAGTAGCTCAACAAAGGCACATAGATAGGAAAATATATATCTAGACAATGAGAAATTATAAAGTCAGGATGGAGCCCTAAGTGCAGGGACTGTAAGGCAAACACAGCAACTATGAACGGAAGGAAACAAGGGCCTTAAGGAGAACCCTCCTGGTACCCAGATAACCAGAATATGTCCTTAAGTTTTTATGAAATCTCTTCTGAAAAAATGTCTATTGACATTAATATAATATTACTGAAGCTCTCAGAGACTTTCTCCTTTGTAAGAGGTTATAAGAAGCTCCTCAGCATCTTCCTAAGGGTAGTAGATTATGAAAGGGGAAAAGGCTGAATCTCTAACACTCAATTTGGCTTTTTGCAGAAGCTCCCATAACAGTACTGGTGAGGGGAGAAACTATTTGTTGAAATGGAGTTTCTAGACTGTGTCTTCATTCATGCATGCTCCCTCTGGTCTCTATATGACTGACCCTGGAAAATGATTTACTGTCTGGCTTCCTAGGGAGAGGTTTGCAGTATGACGCTGGCTTCCATCTTTTATGTATCAATACACCTTCCTGATACCTGACAATCTTGCTTCTTCCCAAACAAATACAATTAGTCTGAAATGGCCTGGAATGTGAGATCTCAAAGCAACCACATTTTATTCTTGTGAAGCATCTTTCATTTAGTGCCTAGCTTTCATTTAGTGCCTGCTAGGCTTTTTCCATTTCAGGAAATTTTTTGTGGCCTACATTGCATATTGTTCACAGATTTTCCATACAAGCTGGAAGTGAGCGTAAAACAACCTCATACATGCTGGTTAACCATATTAGAGAGCTTTTTCCTTTCTTAAAGATCACAATCATACTTCTCATCTCCACAAACAGACCTAGAAAGAAGCTTCTATCTGAACTAAACAAAAGCCAAAAAGAGGCAATTTCACAGAATGTTGTTCATCTGTTTCCACTCCCCTCCCTGTTATGTCTTCTCTGATAGTTATAGTCTGTCCACTGAGGCTCTATGAATGTGCTCTTCTATGAACAAGGCTTCAGTGTGGCCAGGTACAAGCGACATTTTTCAGACCTATATCCACACAAATGCAAGGGAATTCACAAATGTATCACCTCTGCCTTAGCATGGGCCACTCTCTCATACCACAGGGCCTCTCAATATCCTACCACTATTAACCTCTTGGTCAGATGAGATTTGAATATGGCAATACTTTCAAATAAGATCTGCTTCAACCTAGAGTAGGATGAATGATGCTAATGAATCCCAACCTGTGATTTTGTTATTACATCAAATAATCACCAGGCAAGCTATCAAAAGACATGCTTATCAACAACCCAAATTATCTTTTTTTTGAGGTGGGGAGAGAAGTAATGTTAATAAAAAAATTGCAAGGAAGACCAAAAGTCTAGGTAATTGAGTGGAGTAGGAAGAGTGGGTAAGATAGTGTAAAAGCAGGGAAAAGTGACAGGGGAAAAGGCTAGGCTAGCTGCTACTGCTACAATGCTGATACTAACTTAGGGCCACTACTGGTCTTAGAGGTGGGTTTTCCTGCAAAGAAAACAAGGAGTTGCTATTACCCTTTTACTTTCTTCTTGATTTGTTATCTATTGCTATGTAATAAATTACTAAAACTTTGCAGCTTAGAACAATACGAACTTGATATTGCACAGTTTCTGCACATCAGGAGTCCAGGCCTAGCTTAGCTGGGTTCTCTGCTTAGCATCTTACCAGACTGCAATCAAGGTGTCAGCTAGGGCTGCAGTCTCATCTGAGGCTTGACTGGGGAAGGATACAAATCACTAAGGTTGTGGAGAGGATTCAGTTCTTTGTAGTGTAGCATCAAGGATTTCAGTTTTTTTGTTGGATGTTGACGGAAGGCAGCTTTCAGCTTCTAGTGGCCCCTTGCAACTCCTTGCCATATAGGCCGCCCAACATAGACAACCCACAACATGGCAGTTTGCTTTTAAAGCCAGCATGGGAGAGAGACTTCTGCAAGACAGGCCTTACAATCTTAGGTATGTAAATCACATACACATAATCATGTGCTTCCTGTCTGTCACCTTTATCATATTTTGTTGGTTAGATGCAAGTCATCAGTCATATCCACTTATGGAGGGGATTACGTGTAGGAATGAACATTAGGAGGTGAGGATCATGGGGTGCCACCCACCCTAAAGTCTGTCCGCCACACCCCTAAGCTCTTTCCTTTCACTTACAGCAGTATTTTGTACAAACATTTGTGCTATCCAATTTAAGAAATCTTCAACTATTCCGAGACCATAATAATATTCTTCAATTCTATCTTATAGAAGCTGAATTAGTATTGCTCCTTTGGATGTATATAGCTGCTAACTCTTGCTGCTGATCTGTATTCTCTTTCACTGTCGAACAAGACAACTGTTTCCTTAAGGTCAATGCAGTGGTTAATCTGTATGAACAGAAGAAGTCAGTGGCACTTATGAACCAAGTGAGAATTTTACCAGCAGAAGCTGCTGATGTAACTTTCATATAGTTTAATTTAATTAAATGAAAAAAAAAATGGATGTCTTCCTTTTGGGATGTGTAAGACCCTATGCTAGAACTTGCAAGGGTACAAAGAAAACAAGCCAGCTCTTGTTCTTGTGGCTATAAAAAAAAATTACACTTAAGCTACAAGCCACAACAGAAAAGCTACAGGAGACAATATCATTGGCCCAAAAGTAGCAGAAGTTATATTCTATCGGAGCAATCAGCAAAGTTTTCATGCAGGAAGTGACATTTGGCTAATGACTTATTTGTTCTTTTGTCTATTTATAAACTATCTTGTACCCAGAAGGACTTAAGAAGGTTGGTATTTAATATGGGCCCTGTAGGATAACTTGAGCCCTAAGAAGGACTGCACTGAACTTGACAATATACAAAGCAAACATAATTTATACCTACTGGGTACAATGTTCACTATTTGGGTAACTGGTACACTGGAAGCCCAATCCCCCCCATTACATAATATACTCATGTAATAAACATGTACATGTACCCTATGAATCCAAAATTAAATTTTTAAAAAAGATCTATCCTGGAACAACTTTCTGCTCTAAAGTAACATGAACAAATCACCTTAAAAGAAAAAAAAAGAGAGAGAAAAATGCATGACCATTAAATGTCTATAATAGTGAATAAATATATGTCATTACAGAAAATTCAAAAATAAAAAATAGAAAAAAAAAACCCAAACTCACCACTTAAATACAACCACTAAATTCATTTTATAATTATCAAGCTTTTCCATGTGTGATTTTTATACAGTTGTATTCACACATTCTCTATGTATTCTGACATCCTTAATATTCTATAATTAACTTTTATGTATTATAATGTCTTTTGCAAATATAATTTTAATGGCTGTACTTTCCATACTCTACCTAACCTTGCCTTTAAGGTTGGACATTAGGATGTTTCCAATTTTTTGTTATAATAGATAATAGTTTTGCACATGATTTTTTCTATCTTTGTCTGTTTTCTTAATATAAATTCCAAAAAAAAGAATTAGTAGGTTCAAAGGGTATGAATACTTTTTTAATGGAAATTATTTTTTTCTGATAATACATGGTCATTATAAAGAAAAGCAGAAACAATGTAGAGTTTTCACTCCAATACATCCTTTACCCCTAACCACCAGAGAAAACTACTATAAGCCACCTGGTATTTACCTGTTCAAACTTATTTAAAATGGATATCGAAGTACACACATACACAACACAACTTTTCTTTTAGACTATGTAATAGTAATAGTTAATTTTGATAACTGTTGAGGTTCATTCATCAAATGAACATTAGCAAATACTACCATACTCAATATAAACAGACATCATTAAGTATACTACTATATACTAATTCATTAAACACTATCACACATTGTGGTAGGCACACACTTTTTGATATATTAGTTCTTCAGTGAATTATCTGTTCACATCCTTTGCATCTTTGAGAACTTGCTGTCCTTTTTATGAATTTCTACAAATTATTTATTGTAAGAAATTAACCTAAGCTAAAAGGATTAGCTAAAGGCCCACATACTACAGACTAGTGACTTCCATCACCAGGGTAATATTTTCAAAACTTGTTACAATGCCACGTAAACAACTATTTCCGTGCCTGAAGACACAAAAATACAGACCATGGAGTTTGCTGAAATGCAGAGGTCTACTGCAAAGCGTCAGATTGAGAACTTACACACCAAAGAGCTTCAATCAACTTCCACTGACACATCTGATACCATCTTAGAACTTAAAAGATTCCAAAGAAATAAGAAAGAAATTTATAGTCCCATTTCAGTTTTGACCCTAATAATTCAAGGAAATGAGAAAATACATCTTGGTAGTGCTGTTACCCTGAACAAGCTGATATCAGCACATTTACTCAAGGGAGTCTCTGTGTTTATGGACAACGTCATAGGTGGAAAGAACTAGAGCACATTAACACAGAAGACCTTTCCTTCAGAGAATTTGATTCATATTCCTCCTGCTTCCAAGGGATATGAGAAGACAGAGCTGACATCACAGAAAGACCAAGGACAGATTTAACTGTCCACAGCATTTCAATGCATTCTGTTCCAAGCTTTTGGAAAGCTTAGGTAGGTGGTTCTCAAACTTAAGCATGTACCAGAATCACCTGCAGTGCTAGTTAAATGCTGGTTGGTGAGCCCCACCCCTTGGGGTGAAGAGGGGGAAGAATTTGCATTTCTAACAAGATCACAGGTGCTGTTGATACTACTTTGAGACATGTTGGCTTATTCAAATTAGTGCCCAGTGTCATCTATTATATTTTACTTACAACTACAGTACTCCTGGGCCAAGAAGAGGTAGTGATAAAATGTGTTGGGCAGTAAATATACAGCTTTCTCTGGCTAGCAGCCACTTAACTTCATTTGCCCCACCTGTCATTTTAAACACATCTCACTAATTCCCAAGCTATTAGACATCTGAGAGGATGGGGGAACTTTTCGATATCTGACAATATATCATTGGTACACAAATATTAAAATGGCTCAATATTTAAATCTGAAAAGTGTTCAGAAATTCTCAGATGAAATGCATTAGATAAAGTACTAAGTATTAACATGCATGAAGAATGTTCTATTATAAACCCGTTTTCACTTTCTTGCAGCTTTCCAAAAAATTAGCCCTTTGTGGTGAAATTTTCCATGCTTGGTTTCAGCCCAAAGGTGATTTTTTTTTTTTTGCAAAGTTTGAGAAAAACATATTAAGTCGTTTTTGAGTTATGAAAAGATGAAAAAAGCCCACACAATTTTTCCACTTTGAAAGCAATTTCAGGATTTAAAAAAATACACAGATAACTAAAAATGGCTGAAGTTGAAAAGTTGAAACTGTCCATGTGTCTAGTTTTTAGCAAGGTATTCTGGGTAACTCAGAAAAGATAATGTGTGTGTGTGCGCACAAATATGCAGATACATATATACTTAAATAAATGCATAAGTGATTGGAAAAATAGCATTTCATCATCTACAATACAAACTTAGAGTAAGAGACTTACGGTTTTCTGAAATGGAAAATCTTTCAGAAATCAGAGTAGTTAGGTGCTGATTGTCTAAGCCTGTGTTTTTCACGCAGCAGGATTTATTAATGGGTCACATAGAGGTAACTGTCAAACTACTATGCACTATGTTTGCAGAATCCTCCAATTTCCTTCATAGTCCTTCTGTTCCCAGCTCAATTCTAGGACTCTGATTTACTATCTTTTCAGTTTAATTTCTGCCCTTGGCCCAGGCCTCAACAGTCTCTTTATCTCCTATGCTCCAGAACACTCACACATGCTGTCATTTCTCTCAGTTCTCTCTGAACTCCTCCCAATGCATTCACCTGCTTCCTACTAAAACACTCACTGTGTGTTTGAAGAACTCAAATATTAAAAAAGCAAAAATAGAAATCTTAAGTTTAGGCCAAATAGTTTGGTGATTTGTGAAAGCAACTTAGTCTAACCATCTGTAATCATCACCTCTCTAACTCACCTAGAAAACAGGTAGTGGGAAAGTTAGAAAACAGAATACAGAGTCCCAGCTCTGCTACTTTCTACTAGTTGACATATGGGTTGGACACATGGCTCCTTGGCACTTCGGTCTCATCTTTAAGATGGGAAAAATCAGATTGTTAAAATACCTTGTTACATGTGAACACGTTTTATAAATTTCAAATGAATGTTAGGTATAATCACTGTTAGTAATGACAATAACATCAATTTTAAAAATTGAGCTAGACTTTTTCTAGATGGAAAAGGAGAACCAAATATGTAATATATGTTCCCCCTACACCCCAGGGAAGGGGTAAACCACTTTTGCAAAGACATAAATATTAAGAAAAATTCCATTTTCCAAGTTTTCAAGTATGTAGACTAAAAGACAAATGGAAGGAAACCTGTTCCAACAAAAGTTCCTATTTGTCTTTCATTTTCGACATCTCTCTACGCTTGGGCTGTTCCTCTCAGCATATGTTAAATTCTCCCCTACTTACAGGAAAAAAAGTTCCCTTGACCAGCTTCTTCCTTAAATTATTATGTGTTCTTCTCCTTCACTGGCCAGTGGAATCACTATCCATTTATCACCTAACTTCCTGCAACCCCCTTGTCCCATTATTTCACTAAAAGTCTGTCTTCGAGGACACCAAGAACCTTTTACTCTAGAAGCCTGAAGCCTTCAACATTTGTTACATTCAACCCTGTTACCTTGTTTAAATTATCTACTGCTATATAACATAGCATCTCTAGACTTATGGTTTAAAATCACAATGATTTTGCTTTCTCACAATTCTGTGGGTCAGGAATTCAAATAGGGCTCAGTTGGATGGTTCTTTTGCTCCATGTGGTGTGGGCTGGGGTCACTCATTGGGCTGCATTCAGTGGCGGATGGGCTGGGCTGAGATGGGCTGGAAGACCCGAGAAGGTTTCACTCAGGCCTGGTGCCTCATGATCCTCCTACGTAGCTAGCTTGGGCTTCTCTCAGCCTCGTGGTCTCAGGGCAGTCGGCTTTCTTACACAGCAGCTGGCTTCTGAGAGGGAGGAAATAGAAGCTCCTAGTCCTCTTAAGGCCTGGACTTGAAGCTACCAGAAGTACATTACTTCCACTGTATCTTATTGGTGAAAGTAAGTCACATGCTTGGCCTAAATTTAAAGGGGAAGGGAAACAGGTTTCATTTCTTGAGAGGAATGACAAAAAAATCTGTGGCCATCTGTAATCCTCCATATATCTACCCCTTTCTTGACATTCTTGCTCTGTTCTTAGCTGCTGTGGTGTACTCTAGTCCAGATGAATGGTTTTCAAACTTTTTTTTTTTTTTACCTTAACTCACAGTAAGATATACATTCGACATTATAATCTACTATGTTATCAACACACACACAAAGTGAAACAAAAGTTTCATAATACATGCCTTTACTGCAATATATTTTTATTCTATTCTATTTTACTTGATTTTATTATACATTGTTTAAAAACACTGTTTCATTGGTCACAAACAGACGCTTCCATTCTCTGGGGAGGACTGTACTTCACAGCCTCATTGATGGCTGACTTGGTCATATGATTTGCTCTGTCCAATAAAATTTGAGGAGTGAAAATTTTCACTTCCAGGCAGAGGTTTTAAAATGTAGGTGTGGTTCACTATTCACTTTATATCCTCTGCCATGGGACTTGAATATTCCAGGCAGAGGCTACTCCATCAATCTGGATTCTGGAGAAAGCTTGCATAGAGAGATCTTCATAGGGGCAGCCTACCCTCAAAGGATTTGTATCATGAGTAAGAAACAAACCTTTGTTGTTAAAAGCCACTGACATTGTGTTATTATAGCACAGTCTACTGTCTTGACTGATCCACTGGTTGCAACCCACTGAAGTGATTTTGGGATCCATTAATGGATTGCAGCCAATAGTTTGGAAAATTATTATATCTTCTGCCTCTTTCTGTGACTTCCACCTCTTTCCCCTCCTGATGGCAGCAGGGGGCTATCCACAGTGGGGAGGCATAGACGGTGGCAGCAGAAGTGGCTACAGGAGCTGCAATGGCGGTGGTGGGTCCCCTGTGCCCCACGTCCTTGAGGCAGCTGACTGTGACGCCTGCTTCGGGGACCGGCCAGCAGTGGAGGGTTTCTGTGCCTCAGGAGGGGGCTCTGCGCAGGGCCGCCCAGGGCTCTGTCCCCAGGGTCTGCCCTGCATCAGGGTGACCACCAGGCCTGACACTCCTGACGGCCAGACCAGGGCCTGCAATCCATTCCTGGAGGTGCGCACTGGGCAGGGCCACAATCTGGGCGAGGGGGAGCTCCCAGCTGCCCCTGAATGCCAGGGCCACTGGGGGAGCTCATGGAGATGTTGCCCCTACCCTGACACTGGCCTGGGCCCAGCAAGTACCTAGAGCCCCTGCCCCAGGCTGTGAGGGGGTGCAGCTGGGCTTCATGCTCCATGGAGCCACTAGAGCCAGAAACAGGCAGCAGCCCAAGACAAGGCTGTGGACCCAGGCCTCTCTGTGCCCTTGGGGGCCTGGGAAGTCCCCCCTCCCTTGCCCTTGAAGGCTTGGAGAGGCCTGCTCCACTCCATGACCTCTCCCTGCTCCTGGTGCCCGCTCTGATCTTGGAGTAGGGTTGGGGCCAAGCCTGGTCACTGTCACAGCCCGGCTGGGTGTGCACACACTTGAGGAGCACTGACATGCCAGCTCCCTGCCACCTCAGTCCCCTCTGGACTTCGGGTGCTGACAAGCATGAGGGGAAATTGAGGGGGTGTGTTGAGGGCGGCTCAGCACTGGCCTGCAGGTGCCCCTTGGCACAAGCAACCTGGGTGCCTTAGATGCTGGCAGGAGGCAGATGGGCCACTGGGCAGAAGAGGGAGGATCTCCGGTGAGGCCCCACCTGCAGGCCAGGGAGGGTTTGAAGGCTAGGGGCCAGGCTGCCAGTCCCAGGGACCAGAGTAGGGGACTTGTGGTGCCCTTTCTGGGCCTACCCCTGGCTGCCCATGGACCAATCAGTGGGCACTTCCTTCTCTCTGAGGCCCATAAAAGCCCTGGGCTCAGCCAGAGCAGAGCAGAGGACAGAGAGACAATGGGATGACCTGCTGCAGAAAGGAGCTACTATCTCTGCCAAGAGATCCAGACAAAGGGATGACTTGCCTGCACAGAGAAGCCACCTACAGGGCCTCCTCTCTGCTGAGAGCTGCAGGATGGGATGACCAGCTGCAGAGAGGAGCTACCCTCTCTGCTAGGAGCTGAACACTCACTGGGACACCCTGGCTACACAGAGGAGCTGTCCACTGCGGGTCTTCTCTGAGCTGTTTTATTGCTCAATAAAGCTCCTCTCTGTCTTGCTCACCCTCTGCATGTCTGCAAACCTCATTCTTCCTGGTCGCAGAACAAGAACTCAGGACCTGATGAGTGGCGAGGCTAAAAGAGCTGCTGTAACACAAACAAAGCTGAAACATGCCCCCTGCTCGCCATGTTGCGAGTGAAGAGAAGGAGAGAAAATCTGCAGCACTTCAGGGAGCCCAGACCTGGGAGCTCCCTGAGCCAGAGCTGTGACTCCCTCTTTGGGGCCTTGTGGTTCCTGGAGTCTCTAAGCTTCTGGGTGCCACCGCATTCCCTGGTGCCAGCTGGGGAAGCTGCTTACAGTGTGCCTGGTCCAGCTGCAGCCTCACAGAGAGCTGACACCCATGCTGGCACCTGGAGCTGCCTGCCCCATGGCAGCAGCCAGCATGTCTGACTGTGCAGTGGCTGGACCCCATACTCGCTCACACACACCCCTCATCACTCCACGCCTGACTCTAGTCTCCCTTGGAGGCATAGGATCCAGGCCGGCAGCATGAGCTGAGCATAGCCTGTCAGGCAGAGTCGGTGGAACGAGCCCAGTGGGCCCGAGCAAAACTCAGGCAAAGATTCCGCCAACCACAGGTTTCTGGCCAGAACAGCAACACCCCAAAGATCCTGTAACACTCCTTTATGGCAAATGAAATCATTCCGCTGATACACATCTATGGCCTCTCTCTTTTCTCAACAATTTCCCTGGGCAATTTTATCCCTTACACTGTCTTCATTATTTCTTATTTGGACTAGTAAACTTTCCTGTCACCTGGATCTTCACTTTTTATGCTGCACTTTTTCTATCTCCATCTCATTTTCCTTTTCTCTGAGAGATTAATTTACCTGATGCATGACTGCTATCATCAGAGATCCTTCAATGGCTTTCTGCTGTCCAGAAAATGAGCCCATGCTCCCTAGCCCAGCTTTTTGTCCATCTCTATCAACCTTGAATCTCATGCCCGATCGACCCCTCCACGCACACTCTGCCGCAACCCAGTCACACCACCCACTGCCCTCTCCCCGTGCCCAGTGATGAAAACCATTTCTCTTCATGCTGTCTCCCTTGCCTAGAATGCACAGTACCCCCTAGCCACCATATAAAATCCTCTACTTCCAGATACAACTCATCCTTCAGTGGCCCTGAAGCTCTTCCAGGAAGCTTTTTCTGAGCTTCCCAGGTAGAAGACAACCCTCTCCACAAAACTTTCTGAGCCTTACAGTACTGCCTCATTTTGCCTTCCGTGTCTTGTCACTTGTCACTTGAATCTAGGGATAGGATTCTGACAAAATTTACTACGACAAATGAGTTATTTCCTATTCTTCTCCCTCCCTCCAGATTATCTCAACTGTTAAACATAGCTGAGTGACATAATATGAATGCTTCTTACAAGCATGTCTTACTTTGACAGCAGACATGAAGGCTCAGCAGAATAGTGTAAGTAAACCACAGTCTCAATAATCTCATTGTTGGAGAACACTGAAGCTATTTTTTCCTTAGTATGGATGAGGTATATTCCTGAATCAAAACATATATGATCTAACATGTTATTCTAATTCTTTTAGTAAAGTTTTGCAAACTTCTCAGCTATAGTTGTATGTTGAGTCTCTAAAATTTTGAGTACTTAAAATGCCCCAAAACATCCTTTTTGAGGATCTCAAAAGAAGAGAAAAAAAGGCTGAGTGATAACAATGTCCACACATTTAATGCTGTCAATTTTACTCCTTTATCTATTTAGGACCTGTTCATTCCTACTGAAAAAAATTATAATGTAGTTACTGGTTTTCTCTGCCCACAGCAAATTAGTAGCAATAAATTAGAAGTAGGGAAGAGAAGAAGTACTTAACACTGAGAGAGGAGATAGAAAAACTAAAATAGACATACATGAAACATTTTTTTTAAAAAATGAAAAAGCATTATCACCTAAGAAATTTCAGGACACAGGCACATTCCTTTTGATTACATTTTATTCTAGCATAACACTATCAAAATAATAGTGTTATTACCACTGCCCTTAAATCACTAAGAAAAAATTCCTCTATAGTCAATATGCATTGCTGAAGGCAGATAAGTAAGTAATATATTTTAGACAAATTTTTATCCAGTTGGGTAAAATAGTCTGGTACTTAAGAGAGTGAGTTTAAGTAATCCAGAAATTTCATTCAGAGAGAAGACATTTTTGCTAACCAGAAGACAAAGGAAACTCTGTGTTATTATGCACAGAAGGCCAAATAATATAAAAAATTAAGTTTGTGAAGGATCTGATATCCTTCGAAGAGGAGAACATGTTATCATTAAAGGTTATATAAATTCTTAGAGGAAAATTAAAGTTATATTAATTAAAGTTCACCCCAAGACTCAGTGAAGAATCAAGGGCTTTCAACTCAACTCCCAAACTTGAACTTTATGAAAAAGATTTACTGGCAAAATCAGGTGACACATTTTTAACATATAGAGGGTTGATAAGAGAAAGAAGATTCTAGATAGTGGAGATAAGATTACTACTTTTTTGCTTCTGTATTATTCTCCCCCCACCCCAACACACAATCCTGAAATTGCTAGAGCATTCACGGGGTTTCCTACTCTTGGAGCACCAACACAATGAGTCACACGAACTTAGCAGTTGTGTACACTGCAGGGCACACTGTAATAGCTATAGGCTCTGCTATCATCCACAGGTTGAAGGAGCCATCAATACCTTCTTGGATTCTTTTTATACTCACAGCTAATACCAGTATGCCCCACCCCAGATTCAGGCAGAGCCAAGGCTGAATACTGGCAAGGGACCTTTCTCTCACTTCCCACTGATAAAATGAAAGATGGGGCCAGATTGTCTCTAAAGCCTATCTCAGTTCTAAGATTCTATGAATCTAAAAACAATTATGTTTATTATTGTAAGTCATGATAGCTACTATTTAACAGTCTTTCAATTACCTATTTGCTCAAGTTTCTCTTTAAATTCCCTATACTGAGCACTAATTTCAAAATATATGAAGAATATCTCTAATTCTATGTATGGAATTTGTTTAGATAAACAACTTTAAATGCCAGATTTTTTTAAAGGGGCAACTTTTTTTTAGTATATTAAAATACAGGTCAGACAGTATATCTGACATATACAATAAGTCTCTTAAAATGATTTAAGACCAAGTTGCCTATAATTAGTTATGAAAATATTACAAAGAGCTGAACCAAAATAAAACTAAATAAACCAGCTAGCTACTAAACTACACATATGTCCTCAAAATCTTACAAGAGTCAAATATTCCAGTAAAAAATAACAGAAGAGATGGAAACACAAGTTTCTTATTATCACACTTCATATGTTATAAAACATAATAGCTAACTTATTTTTGGCAAAATGATTAAGGATTGTAACATTCTGGCTTACACAAACATATTTGTCAAATGCATCTTAAATGGAGCATGTCATGCTAACTTCAGGCATGCAGGCACTGCGGTGTCTTAGAGTAGCCCAGAGACACTGAAATTTCAACACTTTGGCAGGGATCACACCACCAATATTCACTGACCCAGGTGTTTAATGGGGGCTGGGGATGGGGTAGGGAATTTCAACAATGTAGTTAATTGAAACCAGATAAAGCTTCTGAATAATAATTTAAAAATCATACAGATGTTCACTGCCCCTCCTACCCCCCAAAAGAGGTGACCTTTTGGACAATTTATTGCACACATTATTTTCTAGCTTACACCCTTTGGACAATTTATTGCACACATTATTTTCTAGCTTACACCCTTTTTAAGAAGATAAAACACAGCTTCACATATCTTTCTGAAAACTCTATAATCAGTTTGAGTTGTGTCTCCACAAATAGAGTAGGTTAAGTTCACGTTTCATCTTTGTTTCCCCTTTTCACCACTATTCCTGCAAAAGCAAGGACACCTGAAGGCAGGACAATAATTAGAAAGTTATGATGCTGAAAAAGCTATAAGAAAGCACATTAACCTTGAGATGCATTCTACTTCTTTCCCAACAGACATTGTGAATATGGGCCCAAAAAGAGAGAAAGGTTCAAGACAATGTATTGAACAATCATTTTCAAACACACAAAAGAGAAACCACACATCACATGCAGAACAGATCTGAAGCAAACACAAAAACCAAAACAGATCTGTGATTAAGTTAATAATAGTCTGTGATGGGCTCCAAAATGAATATTTTCTTTCCTATGTTTATAGAACAGTAATGCTATTATTTCAAATATGCAAGTATCCTTTTTAATGTTTTTAAAGTGTTTAAGACACCTGGAACAACTAACAACAAATAACTACATTTCATGTCAGTTTGCTACATTTTATTTGACAGGTCCAAGTCATTGCCTACACCAGTAAATAAATGCAACAATTTATGTACATCCTATGTCCATGTTCTTGACTGCACAACACACAAGTGAAATCCTAATTTTAGAATGATGGGGTATGCAGCTCTGAGGCAGCTCCCAGTGACTTTCACCTCCTAGTATTCATGCCCTTGTGTAATTATCTCTCCTTGAGTGTGGGCTAGACCTAGTGACTTGATTCTAACAAGAATACAGGAAACGTGATGGGATGTCACTTTGTAACTGGGTTACAGCCTGTGATTTTCATCTGCTAGCAGGCTGTCTGCCTCCTTGACTCTTCTTCCAGGTGTGCTCTAATGAAGTCAGCTAGACAGGCCGACACGTTAAAGAAGGTGGCCTCCCCCCAAATGCCACTGCTGAATGAAGGCTCTCTGTCCAACAACTCTCAAGGAATGGGATCCTGTCAAAAACCACAAGAGTGAGCCTGGATGCAGATCCATCTCAACTAAAGCCTTCAGATAAAACTGTAGCCCTGGAAGACATGTTGGTTAAAATCTTGGGAGAGACCCTGAAGCAGAGAATCCAGCTAAGCTGTGGCCAGACTTCTGACCAGAAACTACGAGTGAAGAAATGTGTATTGTTTTACACTGCTAAGTTTTGGGGCAATTTGATACACAGCAATAGATACCTAATACAATAGTTAACCTAATGACTGAGACAATGACTCTAGAGTTATTTCCCTAATAATAATAATAGCTAATACTTATTTGGAACTTTAAAGTTACAGATACCATTCTTGATGCTTTATATAATTCCTCACAAAAATACTTTGAAGAACATATTATCCCCATTTTACAAATGAGGAAACTGAGGTTGAGACTCAAAACTAAAGTAGAGACTCAATAACTTGTCTAAGATCAGACAGACTAAAAAAAAAAAAGGACAATAAATATTGGAACCTAGGTGTCCTGATTCTACTGCCAGAACTCACAGCAACTGTGCAAGTAGAACCACTAAGAGGCAGAGCTGGACACCATAAAGATGGCAACCACATGACACAGTACTAGAGGAGACTTCGAAGGCACAAAAGAGATTAGAAGCTGTGCAAAATGCTAAAAGGAAAAATAAAGCCTGCATTCTGATTAAGACACCTTATTTAGGGAAAAAACACCCAACACAGTAGACAATAATACAGAGAACAGAGTACAATCTTGAATTTATTGAATTCACACTTAGAAATGAAAAACATATTTTCTTATACCCAATAATAATTTAAAACCTCCATTTAGTATCAAAAACCACAGCGAGGGAGGCTATAGTTGTACATTTCCCAAGGGCAATTACGAATAAGAAGCAAGCAGGTGAAGCTGGCAAGAAAAGGAGCGAGTGCTTAGTGAGCTCTGAGACCCCACTGAAGATATTTTATCCCACGGAGTGAGAAACAGTCAAAATCCTAGCACAAAGCAGCCATGAAGCGATCACGTCCTATCTTGGCTTCAGATTACTAGGTTTACCAGCACTCCATGCTCCCACACCCCCTGAACTGAAACAAGACAGTAGGTATCACATCTATTGGTTAGACTGTCTCCTCAAGCAGACTCCAGGCTCTCCTACTTCAAAGACTGTCTTACTCTCTGGGATGTCCTCAAAACATAGCACAGGATCTGACACATGGAAAGGGCTTAATATATGTTTGTTGAATAAAGAAATGAATTATCTTGTGAATTGCATCCATTCAGTGAGTTATTTCAATGGTATATGCTAGTGAAAGTACAATTTTTTTGTTTTGTTTTATATCTCTTATAGTTCACTTGCTTTCCTGGGCACTTTAAATAGGTCTTTGCGTCTCTAGCGCCTCACTTAATATCTGGCACACAGTGGTATCCAACAAATATTTGCAAGCATTTGTGAATATGTGTCTCAAAAAGGCTGCCAAGATACAGAATAGGTAAGAATCTGAACTTATGAATTAATAAAGATGTAGTGTTCCATAAAGACAGCTGTTTGCCTATCAGTGATGATGATGATACATTTCTTCCTTCTGAAAAAGGCAAGAATATTTACAAAATACCTTCCCACAAAAGACAGATTCTTGTCTAGGTCTTACCTAGTGACCGCTCTTAAATATTTCTTTATAAAAAACAGCAAGTAATGTGTAACATAAGAACTCCGATAACCCTAGATTCAAAGGCATTCTTTCAGAAACTTCTTATCTCCCTCAGCATTATTCTTTGAAACATTATGAACATACATTCACATAAGCCCATCGTAATATGGAGATAAGGATAAAGGCAGAAAGCAAATATCCCTCTCTCTGTTCTATTTATCAACTGAACAAGAGACAAAAGAACATAGGAAAGGTGAGGAGGATTTGTGCAGGCACACAGTCCAGCACCCACAGTTACCTCTGGAGACCTACTTACCGGGAGCTCAGGGACTCGCTTCAGCATCTGAAGTGTGAAATAGCTGCCTATTGAATGGCCAATGAGCACAAGTTTCATGTCCTTTGGCACATGAGTTCTCAGGAAAGCTAGTTTGTGCTCTATTTGTCCATTTAGTCCATAAATGTCCTTAATTTCTTGAGCGTTTGAATCTAAAAGCAAAAATATGAGCACGTTTTCATTAAGTAAAAGTAATCACTGAAAAAAGATCAAGAAAAAGATAACAATCATGATAAAAAGCAGTTACCATTTATCGAAAGCCTACAGTGTGCCAGTGATAATATTAGGCATTCATTATATTAACTAATTTTCACAACAATTTTGGGAAGGAAACATTATAACCTTCACTTGATAGGTGAAAATCCCAATGCTCATAGATATTAGGTGACAGATTAATAGTCACAAACTTATTAAGTGGGAGAGGTGAGATTCAAATTCAGGTCTCCAAATCCTCAAAGTCCATGAACTTTCAATAATTCTGTGTATTACTGTTAGCTTAGGCCAGTGGTTCTCAAACTTGAGCATACATCAGAATCCCCTTAAAGGCTTGTTAAAACATATTGCTGGGCTCCACACCCCAGGGTTTCTGTTTCAGTAGGTCTAGGCTGGGGCCTGAGAAGTTGCATTTCCAAGTTTCCAGGAGATGTTGATGCACTGGGTCCCAGTACCACACATTGAGAACCAGCTGCTTAGGCTAATTTATATTACTAATAGACAACTAAGAAAGTCCATGACATGACTTAATTATTTTAGATAATCTTTATTTATTTAAAGAATCCAGATCGAAAAACTTAGGTAGAAATGTTAAAAACTGTCCCTTTTAAATAATCAGCAGTCCTGACCTGAAATATCCTCCCTCCCTGTCACAAATGAACTGCTCTTCTAGGTTCTTCAAGACCTAATTAAAACTTTACCTAGCTAATCCTCAAGAAAAATTAATGAGCTCTCTTCTGTGCTTAATCAGTACCTCTTTTATTATAGCACTTTATCAAACTTGCACATTGTCTGTTTGTATGTTTATTTCCTCTCTTAGGCTGTGAGTTCCTTGAAGGCAAGGTCCATCTTTTCATGTGTCCTGTGACTAGTACACAGCAAATGTTATGGCTGAATGAAAACTGGAACTGACTAGATGATCTCTGAGGATGCTGGCCACTCTAATATTCTACGAGTGTAGAAAACTTGAATAGGTTTTCCCTATGAACATATATATAACCCAATGACAGGGTGTAATATTTCAAAATATCACAAGACAGTCAACTGTTTCCTAAAATTTGAGTGACTGAACACTGAATTTCTTGCTCTCATGACTTGCAAGGCATTGATGGGAATTACAGTCGGTATGGCTCATTCAAGAGGCACCCCAAACTCAGAAAAACTACTCTTCTGTTTTGTTTGTATATGGTTTTTTTTGTGTGTGTGTGTGCTCATCTCCCCTTTTAGTCTAAGTCCTGTTTATCCTACAAACTTGAAACAAGCGTTATCTCCTCTGAGAGACCTTTTTATGATTCATGATGTGAGGAGTAAAGTGGCTCTCTTTTCAGTTTCCACAACATCCCTGTTTATTTATCTCACTATACTACTCCTAATTCACTCCTACTTTACAATTCAGGTCTTGCTTATCACTGCTCCCCAAAGTCCAGCATACAGTTATTGAAAAGCTTTTTCTTGACTCAATGAGGCTTACTTCCCTATTTCCATAGTACTATTAATCTCCCAGGTTAAACATGTTATGCTCTCACTCTTTTTCCCAGGTCAGCTTACAATCCATTCTCCACTTAACAAGGAAGTTCAGCATGAAACAGAATTGGGAAGAGAGAGAATCTGGAACCTGACTTTGGTAGGACTTCTAATGGCTCCAAATCCACCTTTTTATGCATGAAATATTATATTTAGGTTTGAAGAGTTTATACCTTGCTTCTCTAATCACTCTACCCAGAAGTGATCATATCATTCTTTGATATAAAAAACCACAATAATGTTAATATTTGCATCCCAAGTTCTTTTTCAAAATATGCAGCATTTGGAAATATCCAAGTTTTCCTTCTGTTGGGACAGTAGGTGCAGTACAAAGATAAACGGGCTCTGGAGATGAGATACATCTGGGTTTAAATCTCAGCTCAGCATCTCCCTAACTGTGTGACTTGAGCAAATCCTTTAACCTAGGCTTCAGTTTCCTCATACACAAAATAGAGATAATAATGCTAGCCTCCAATGGCTGTTGTTTAAGTGTCTGGCATAAGCAGATAAATAAAAGCTATGATTGTCATCATTTCAATTCCTGTTATTTAAGTCCTCCTCCAAATATATACCAAGAACATTTACATGGTTAGAGCAAAGAAAATGGGCTAAATATTCTAAAATTTCACTGACATCATAAATAAGGTCCTAAAACATTGTATTTCAGATAAACTTTAAAGGACATTATAAATCAGAATATTTCAGAGGTAGATCTAGCTTTACCTCTGGGAACTATTCAGTAGATTTTCAAGAACACAGTACTTGCTAGTGTTTGCCAAAGTGGTAAGATTAATGGGGAAAGTACTTTCTAAAAATGTACAATGACTGAAAATTTAAATGTGCTATCTTTTAAAATTTATTTTTATTTATTTATTTTTGAGATGGAGTCTCACTCTGTCGCCCAGGCTGGAATGCAGTAGCACAATCTCAGCTCACTGCAACCTCCGCCTCCCGGGTTCAAGCAATTCTCATGACTCCCAAGTAGCTGGGATTACAGGCGTGCACCACCAGGCCTGGTGAATTTTTGTAGAGATGAGGTTTCACCATGTTGGCCAGGCTGGTCTCAAACTTCTGACCTCAGGTGATCCACCCACCTCGGCCTCCTGAAGTGCTGGGATTACAGGCGTAAACCACCATTCCCAGCCTATCTTTTTTCATTTTACTAGTAAATAAAATTCTAGATATTATTTTACTAGCAGAAAATGAAATGTTAAAAGACTATATACTTGATTATATATTTTCATTCCTATTATTTTAATAGTAATATATTCTGAGAAAATGCTAGAAATTATTAACTTACTCTCCAAAAAATGTAGAAAAAATTACATTCAATTGTATCAAAACCAGAAGAATGCTAATATGGAAATCATTTATACCATTCTTTCTATAAGGAAAATGTACTCCAAGTTATAATCAATGAAGCACATTTGGAACATAATCTAAATTGAGATTTCTAAATTGAGAACTGCCCGAATTGGTGGATGACAATCCAATCCACCATATTGTTACCAATAAATTGTGGGGGAAAGAAAGAGAGATCAGACTGTTATTGTATCTATGCAGAAAGAGGAAGACATAAGAAACTCCATTTTGTTCTGTACTAAGAAAAATTCTTCTGCCTTGAGATGCTGTTAATCTGTAACCCCAGCCCCAATATCATATTGACAATTTTCTCTTAGAACCTGAGCCTATTTCTTAGACCCATCTCTATTAGATATCACTTCACAGCTCACCTAACGGTTCTAGAGTTTATTTCAAAAGGTACACACAACTTGTTCTGAAATAGTTAGTAGAGAAATTAAATAATATCAGTACTTCGCATTAACTTTTTGTCTAATCGTTCAAATTTGCTGCTCCAGTTATTAAAGTTATTAAGCAGTCATTAAAATTGCTTTCAATTTTAAATTCCCTTATAGCCTCAGAACACAGATAAATCTGATGATTATTATTTTCTTCATTTTACATGAACTGAATTGACTACTCTGACAGAAAACAGTGACTAATTGGCCCTTGGTATTATTGAAAGTACAGACATAAATAAAATATACTACCTTTGCCTTTCAGGAGATCATAATCTACTAACAGGAAACAGACATAGATAAAAACACAATCATTAAATGCCAAAGTTAAGTATCTCAAGCATTTGTGTGAGAAAAGAACACAGTTTATTGGATCACAATAGAAGGGTAACGGCCCTTTGATTCATAAAAAGTACTGTACCTTTTCCCACTCTACCCAAGATAAATAACTAGAAGATATTCTTTATTACATGTATATTACTATAAATGTATACATTTAACTATGTATCTGAATCCAAGCAAAACAGTTTAAATTTAACTACATATTTAACTGCCATTCATATATATATATATATATATGGCTATATACTGAATATAAATGTATAAGTTCAACTATTTATTTTCATACAAACAGTATTTATTGGTCATCTCTGACCATGGAACAGACAAGACTGGAGATTAGCACTACACATGCCTTTGGTAGGACTGAGTCTGCAGACAGTAACTACATCTCACACCAGAATTTGCTCAGCTACTAAACCCTTCCATCCTGCCCCCAGTCATTACTCCAAAGCTGTATCTTAATAACTAAACAACTTGCATGTAAAAATTGAAAGGCTAAGAATAATATTTCATATTTTAAAGAATTCTTTGATCAAGATGAAAATACAGTTTCCTTGTGAAGCATGTTCTCACCCATAAGTGGGAGGTGAACATTGAGAACACATGGACACAGAGAGGGGAACAACACATACTAGGGCTGTTGAGGGGTGGGGCGGTGAGGGGAGGGAACTTACAGGACAGGTCAATAGGTGCAGCAAACCACCATAGCACACGTATACCTATGTAACAAACGTGTACATTCTGCTCATGTATACCTTTTTTTTTAAGAAAAAATAAAATAAAAAGTTTCCTCCTTAATTTCTTTCAAATACACAAAAAAATAATATGTTGTTCACCATGCTATACATATATATAAATATATATAACTACAAACATAAAAAGAGACATGAAATATTTACTCTAAATTCATGATAGAACTAGAGATGGGATACAAAAAACAAACCTTTTTCTGTATTGTTTTATTTCACTTATTTTGTTAACAAAAAATATTTATGTAAATATGGCAATGTTAACTGTCAATTGTGAGTAATAGAAACTTTGATTGTTATATAACTCTATTTTGCTACGTTTTTAAAAATTTCTCAAAATAAATTTAAAAAAAAGAATGCATTGACATGCGGTTGTTCCTAGATATCTTACACCTATTTTGTAGGGAAAATCACCATTGATTTCTTTCTCACATGGAATACAGAAGCCCCCAAAGATGTTGTGGGTTGATACTGAATATCAGTGAATTGGCTCAATGAGAACTGTGGTCCCTAATTCTGTAGGCTTACCTACTTCATCGATCCATAAGGCCTTCCTTTCACAACTGTCCTGAGGTTACTAGGCTGAAGTGGGAGTACACTCTCATCAAACCCCAGCTCCCTCCCTAAGTATTCTGTAAGCTCCCTGTATCTAAACACTGGTACAACTCTGTTAGCTCTTAAAGTATGCATTACAGTGAAGGAGATGGGAGATAATTATTCTATTTAACACTGCTATCTTATTTAGAAAACAAATTTCAAAATTTGTAAACCCCAAGCATATGTTTTATAAAATAATTTTTAATTATTATTCTCCAAACGGTGAAAACCACAGTCATCAAATTATGCTTTCCACTTGACTAAAACCAATTATCTGCTAAGGACTTCAACAGTCCTTAGCAGGAAACAGCAGAGAGATTCAGCAAGGAGAACATAATGTTATAGACTTAGCAAACAATAAAAGAAAAAGGCATAAAAAGTGTGTTACTTTTTATTGTAAAGTGATATTTTGGAAACAGCCATGTTTCCATGGCTGTTACTTGGAAAAAGCCATGAGTTCTGTGGCTATGTGTGGTTATATGGAAAGGTGAAGCATAAGGTTAAAAAGGAAAGTTGGGTATAAATGAAGTAGGAAACTGAACTTCACACCAAGGAGTCTGGACTCGGTTCTGTGATCAATGAGAAGATACCTATAGATTGCCAAGAGAGGAGCGCACAATCTGGTCTGTGTTATGGACGTTAACTGCAATGCTCACTCTCCCTACTTCTGTCTGCCCTGGGACTCTTAACAATTTGCTTGATTCCTAACTTCTTCTCTTGCTCTGCACTTTGGTTTTTTGCTCTTCTGACCCACAGATTTACGTGCTTTCATTTCTAGGGACTGTGAGCCCTGAGAGTTGATTGATTGGTTGTTCCTGCCTTGGGCTCATCTAGTCATTCCATCTTACCTCCTTGTTGCCCTGCCACTCCCAGTCCTGGCAAGAGAAAGCTCCACTGGGTTTTCTCTCTTTCTTCCTATTTGGGGGACTGCAGTGAGAGTAGTTTATTGTTTCTTTGGATAAGCATGACTCAAATTCATCATTAGTTGCAAGATTGTATAACTTTTTTAGGTAATGTTTTTATCTGCTAATACAAAACCAGCATGATTTCTAGCTTTCATTTCATACTTTCTAAACAATGACTTGAAATAGTTGATAATGAATTTCCCATCATGTGTGCTGACTCTATAGCAAATCAAATCCAGAAAACAGTTTATACTCCTAACTCCTCAAATTTTCTTTTCACACTTTTTTTCCCCTCGAATCATCCCCTTCTGACATTGGTGAACATCTGTTCTTCCAATTATATTCAACTTATGATTGTGATAATGTGGTCTACTAGAATATTATTTCCAACTGTTCATAATTTTAACATGTGCTAATATGAAGGAAAACATACTTTCAACATTTGATGTGTGGTAATAGCTTATGCCCTTTTTCTCAATGATTACATATTTTTCACGCCATTATTTTGCATGCCAGAAAATCAGTACCTTAGGACAATCTTGGACAGCAAATAATATATCTGTGTTGCCTATCCAAAGCCACTATAGCATACATTTGCAAACATAACCTCCAATGTGTACAACAGATGAGAGCAGAACTGTTCTAGCTGAATGGGGGGCTGGTCCAAGGCCCAGAGCCCTACTTAGCCTTCACAGAACTTTTGAGCTACTCAGATACAGAAAGTCACAAACCTAAAAGGTGGAGACTGGCAAGCAATTCTAACTCTTTGTATACCCTTGTAGCATGACAGTTAATAACCTAGTAGGTTGTCAATAAGTCCTTGATGATAATGAGTTGCCCTCTCACCCTCTCCAGAAACCACAGCTTCCTTTGGCGCTATGGTGGCCCTTTGGGCTAATGCCTCTAGATGGCACTATTCTCATTAGGTAGCAAAGAACCCAGACTAATTACTAAGTTATTAACTCAATAGTACACAAGCAGGCCAACTAGAGATAAACATATTCAAAGTAAAGTTATAAATAATAAGATGTCAATTTACAATAAGAATTAAAGCTGTTTCCTAAAAATTCAGACACATGACAGATATTTTCTACTGGTTTTCCGTATCAGTGTTTATTGTGAACATCTAGGGCAGTGGTTCTGAAAATGTGGTCCCGAAAATGTGGTCCCAGGACCAGCAGCACCAATATTACCTGGGAACTTGTTAGAAATGCAAATTCTCAGGTCCCACCCCAGATCTACTAAATCAACAACTCAGAGGTAGCCACCTGTGTTTTAATAAACCCTCCAGGTGATTTTGATGCATGCCAAAGTTTGAGAACACCTGATCAAGGGTGATCCTCTGAGTCTGTTTTCAACTTTCAAAGTTGCCATTCATGTTCTCTTCAAATGTTCGCTTCTGTCTATAGTATGACTTAAGATAGCTCACTTGATCATGACCATATCCTTTTAATGTGATGTTGAATTCAGTTTGCTGGTATTCTATTGAGAATTTTTGCATGTATGTCCCTCAAGGATATTGACCTATACTTTTCTTGTTTTGTCCTTATTCAGCTTTGGTGGTTTAATTTCTTTAACAGATACAGTCTATTCTGATCATCTATTTTTCCTTGTGTGAGTTTTGGGAGCTTGTATCTTTCAATAAATTGGTCCCTTTTATCTAAGTTAAGTTTATTGTCCTTTTATTATCTAAGAGATCAGCAGCAATGAATCTTCTTTTCTTTCTGAATACTTGTAATTTGCGTCTTCTCTTTCTCCCCCCTTGGTTAGCCTGGCTACAGGCTTATTAATTTTATTAGTCTTTTAAATAACTAGCTTTTGGTTTGTTGATTTTTTTTCTAATAATTTCTTGTTTTCAACTTCATTGATTTGTGTTCCCATTTTTATCATCTTTTCTTCTCTTTGCTTTAGGCTTAAATTGTTCTTTCTCTGGTGTCCTAAGGCAGAAACTTAGGTAATTAACTTTATATCTTCCTTCTTCTCTAATACATGCAGTCAATGCTATAAATTTCCTTCTAAGCACTAGTTTTGCTATATCCTACCAATTTTTATAAGTTGTATTTCCACTTTTATTTTGCTCAAAGTATTTTTATGTTACTCTTCAGACTTCACTGACCCATGTGTTATTTAAAAGTGTGTTGTTTAACTTCTAAATATATTGGGATTTCCTAGCTATGTTTCTGTTGTTGATTTCTAGTTTAATTCCACTGTGGTCTAAGAGCATACCTTGTATAATTTATACTCAATTTTAAGTTTCTTAAGGTATGTTTTATGGCCCGGAATGTAGTCTATCTTGGTGAATGCTCCATGTGTGCTTGAGAAGACTATGTTGTTAGATGAAGTAGTCTATAAATGTCAATTAAATAAAGTTGACTGAAGGTGCAATTCAGTTCAACTATATCTTTACTGCCTTTCTGTTTGCTGGATCTATTCATTACAGAAAAAGGATTGCTGATGTTTCCACTTATAATAGTGCAGTCTATCAGTTTTGCCTCCTGCATTCTGACCTTTGTTGTTAGGTACATATTTGTTAAGGATTGTTATGTTTCCTTGAAGAACTGGTTCTATTATCATTATGTAATGCTCCTCTTTATCCCTGACATTTTCTTTTTCTGAAGCCTGCTTTGTCTAAAATTAAAATAGCTACTCCAGCTTTCTTTTGACTAGTGCTACCATGGTATATCTCTGTATATCCCTTTACTTGCAACATATCTGTGTCTTTATACTTAAAGTTTTTGTTTGTTTGTTTTAAAATGTTTATTTGTTTGTTTTAAAGACAAGATCTCACTCTGTCGCCCAGACTAGAGTGCAGTGGCATGATCTCGGCTCACTGCAGCCTCAACCTCCCGAGTTCAAGTGATCTGCCCACCTCAGCCTCCTGAGTAGGCTGAACCACAGGTGCGTGCCAGCACGCCTGACTAATTTTTGTATTTTTCTGTAGAGTTGGAGTTTCACCATGTTGCCCAGGCTGGTCTCAAACTCCTAGGCTCAAGCAATCTGTTGACCTCGTCCTCCCAAAGTGCTGGAATTACGGGCGTGTATAACTGTGCCTGGTCCTAAAGTGGTTTCTTGTAGACAACATATAGTTGGATCTCCCCCTACCACTCCAACAATCTGTGTATTTTAATTGGTATATTTAGACCATTCACATTTAAAGTGATTACTGAGGCTGGGCATGGTGGCTCATGCCTGTAATCCCAGCACTTTAGGAGGCCAGGGCAGGTAGATCACTTGAGCCCAGGAGTTCAAGACTAGCCCAGGCAACATGGCAAAATCCTGTCCCTATAAAAAATATAAAAATTAGCCAGGCATGCTGGCACACACTTGTGGTCTCAGCTACTCAGGAGGCTGAGGTGGGAATGATCACTTAAGCCTGGGAGTTTCAGGCTACAGTTAGTCTCGTTGGCACCACTGCACTCCAGCCTGGGTGACAGAGTGAGACTGTATCTCTAAATAAATAAATAAAGTGATTACTGATATAGTTGAATTAATAGCTATCATATTTATAAATGTTTCTTCTTTGTTATACTTGTTCTTTCTTTTTAAAATCCTACTCTCTATTCCTAGCTTTAATTGAGCATTTTAAATGATCTAACATTCTCTCTTCTTCTCATAATAATTATACTTATTAAAAAAATTTTTTTTTGGCTGGGCACAGTGGCTCATGCCTGTAATCCCAGCACTTTGGGAAGCTGAGGCGGGCAGATCGCTTGAGCCCAAGGAGTTCCAAGACCAGCCTGGGCAATATGGTGAAACCCTGCATCTACTAAAAATCCAAAAATTAGCCAGGTGTAGTGGCACACGTCTGTAGTCCCAGCTACTTGGGAGGCTGAGGTGGGAGGATCACCTGATCCTGGCAGGTTGAGGCTGCAGTGGGCCAAGATTGTACCAATGTACTCCAGCCTGGGCGAGAGAGTGAGACCCTGTCTCAAAAAAAACAAAAAAAACAAAAAAACACAAGTTCATCTGAAGTAACACTATACCATTTCACCGTTAGTCCAGGTATGTTACAACTGAGTATTCCCAATTCCTCTCTTCCATCCTTTATAACATGATTGACATTCATTTCATTTATCCATGTTGTAATTACCCAACATACTGTTACTTTTATTACTTTGAATAAACAGCTATCTACCAGATCAATTTGGAACAAGAAAAATAAACTTTTTAAACCTTTATTCCTTCTCCGATGCTCTTCTTTATACAGATTTGAGTTTCTAATCTCTATCGCTTTCCCTTCCCCTAAAGAACTTCTTTTAATATTTCTTGCATAGGATGTTTCCAGCAACTAATTTCCTCAGCTGCTGTTGGTCTGAAAAAGTCTTTCTTTCTCCTTTACTTTTGAAGGATGATTTCACTAGATAGAGAAATCCAGGTAAGTGTTATTTTTCATTCGACACTAAATATTTCACTCCATTCTCCTCTTTGTTGAATGATTTCTGACAAGAAGTTCCCTGTAATTCTCATCTTCGTTCTTCTACAGGTAAGGCACTTTTTCCTCTGCCTATTTTCAAGATTTTGTCTTTGGCTTTCTGCAACTTAAGAATGACATATGTAGGTGTAGAGCCTTAGTATTGATCCTGCTTAGTGTGCTCTGAGATTCCTAGACCTGTGTTTTGTCATCTGGCATTAAGTACTTCAACTCTTATCTTCTCCATTTTCTCTTTCTTCTTGATCTGGTATTCCAATTATGCATATGTTACACCTTTTGAAATTGTCCCACAACTCTTGGATGTGCTGTACTTTTATAAATTATTTTTTTCTCTTTGCATTTCAGTTAGGAAAATTTCTATTAACCTATTTTTCCAGCCCACTGATTTTTTCCTCAGCTTCATCCAGCCTGCTGGTGAGTCCATCAAAGGCATTTTTCATTTTTGTTACGGTGTTTTCTAATATTTCCTTTTGATTCTTTCTTAAGAGTTCCCTACTGTCTGCTTGCATTACCCATCTGTTCTTGCATGCTGCTTCTTCCATTAGAGTTCTCAACGTAGTAATCATGGTTACTTTAAATTCCCGATCTGATATTTCTAAAATTGGTAATAAGTATATATCTGACTCTGGTTCTGATGCTTGCTTTGTCTCTTCAGACTGTTTTTTCTTACCTTTTACAATGCCTTCTAATTTTACTTTTTGCTTAAAGCTGGACATGATGTATTAAGTAATAGGAATGAGGTAAATAGACCTTTTATGTGAGGCTATATGTTAATGCCACTAGAAGCTGGGCTATGCTTTTTTTGTTTGTTTGTATTTTAAGATAGGGTCTCACTCTGTCGCCCAGGCTGGAGTGCAGTGGCACTATCTCGGCTCACTGCAACCTCTGCCTCCCGGGTTCAAGCAATTCTCCTGCCTCAACCTCCCGAGTAGCTGGGAGTACAGGCTTGCACCACCATGCCCGGCTAATTTTTGTATTTTTAGTAGAGATGGGGTTTCATCACGTTGGCCAGGCTGGTCAAGCACTCCTAACCTCAAGCAATCTGCTCGCCTCAGCCTCCCAAAGTGCTGGGATTACAGGCATGAGCCACCACGCCTGGCCAGGGCTATGCTTAATGTTTTCTGTAGCTATAGGTATCAGAAACTTCAGTTTCCTCTAATGTTCTTGTTTTTTTTTCCTCCATTGCCTTTGGTTTTCCCTAAGAACTCCTTCTTAAATAGAGTTTGTGTCTTGTAGCTCCTATAGTTATAATGAACTATTATTAAGGTAGAGGCCTGTAGACATGGTGGTAAAATGAGGAGGGAAACATCCTATAATGTAATGATTAAACCTCAGTCTTTCAGTGGGCCTGAATGCCTGTGCTGTGATCTTCAAAAGTTTTTGTCATCTTTTTTTCTCCTCCAGCATGTGAGACATGAAGGCTAGGGGAAGACGGAGTTGGCTAACTGCCCTTCCCCCCAGGTTGGATAAAGCTCTGGAACTCTTTTTCCCTTGGAAAGTAAGCCATGTTATTGAGAATATTCTGGACATACTGCAAAATGCTTACTTCTCTTCCACTCCTAACAAAAAACCATAGAGGACATTTCTCAAATTTTCACAAAAGTACCTGATAAGGTTCCTAGAAGTAATACCTATGAAAGTGAAGAAGTCCCCCAAGAATAGGCTTGCAGAAGTTTGTTACTTTTAAAATAGTCTGTACTTTACCCCCAGCAATTCATCAAAATCACCATTTATGTATTCTACACTTATGTAGTGTATTCTACATAAACGGCACTAGTGTCTTCTACAATCTTCATTGTATTTCCTTGTCTCTCTAGATTTTAGGTGACAATTTGTCCTGTGACCTCAATTCTCTGAAAGGTCTAAGAAAAATGATTTTTAGTTTTGTTCAGCTTTTTTCTTTTCTTTTTTTCTTTCTTTTTTGAGACACAGTCTCATTCTGTCACCTAGGCTGGAGTGCAGTGGCACAATCTTGGCTCACTGCAACCTCTGCCTCCAAGGTTCAAGCAATTCTCATGTCTTAGTCTCCCGAGTAGCTGGGATTACAGGCAAGCACCACCACGCCTGGCTAATTTTTGTACTTTTAGTAGAGATGCAGTTTTGCCATGTTGGCCAAGCTGGTCTCAACTTCCTGGCCTCACATGATCTGCCTGCCTTGGCCTCCCAAAGTGCTGGGATTACAGGCATGAGATACCACACTTAGCCTCAGCTTTTTTCTTATTGCGAGGAGAGAAGTGACAAACTCCAAGTTCTACATGTCAGAGCTGAAACTGGAAGTCCACTATTTATTTTTAAAAAAATTCTATGCTAAATATTTTCTTAATGTATAACATATGCCAAATACAAGTTTTGAACAGGTAATAAGCAAATAAATGTTGAAAAAAAATACCCTGAAAATCTAAATGTAACTATTTCACTAACATTTAAGATACACACTTCATCACGATATTGACATAGGGGAAAAAGCACTAAAAATATGGTCCCTTGTGCTGCTATTCCTAGATGCTTACTTCAGCCTAGAAAATATCTGAGCTATTACACAAAGTATTATTCATTGAAAAATCTCATCTCTTAGTGCCAAGGTGCTAACGTTTGTTAGGCTTTAGGCTGAAAATGTTTAAGCATAATTAAACCATTATGAAGTTTTAGTATTTCTTTTCAACCTTTAACTTACAGGACACCGATTTTTTATTTTCTTATTCAGTTTTCCATACTAAATTGTTTAATAAGCACATATAACTTTTTAATCTAAAAATACAATAAAGGAAGGTAATCCATTTTGAAAATAAATAGAAAATTATACAACATACTCCCTGCAGCTAAAGGGTCAGTTGCAAAATACAAGGTTAACAATTAGATAAAACTAGATAAATTGATACTGTTTATCTGACGTGCAACATTTACACAAATTAATAACAGATTAGTAAACTAATGTTTTTCAGAAAGTATTCAGAGGAGTTCACATATGCAGCCATATTTATTGCCACCACATTCAAATTTTAAAATAGAAACAAAAAATTGTATCTGATATGAGGATCAGAGGCTGAGGTCAGAGATTACAATTAAAAATAAATATAATCAAAACTAGCCTTCAAAGAGTACAGGCTTTTGTATGTTCAACCTTGTACATCAATGTCTAAAAGAATCATGCATATATAATAACGAAGACTATAGATGTAAAATGTAACTTTATTGTAAAATATCTTTAAAACTGAGAAGCTCAATAAGCACAAAAAGATGCTCATACCACTAGAGAGACGTACAAGAACCAGAAGCAAACTGGGCAATGAAGTCACAGCCACCTCGATCTCACCTCAAATTAACTAAAGGAAACCCCCTAGGACAAAACGCCCTTGAATGGAATGCCTATAGAGCATTCCAATTGTTACACCTTTTGAAAGTGTCCTTCAACTCTTGGATATGCTGTACTTTTATAAAGTTATGTTTATGTTTTATAAACTTATATTTAAGTTATTTTTTCTCTCATTTTTTATTTTTTGGAACAGTGAACATGCTAGAATTCTCACAGATTTAAAGGAGGTAGTTTGCATCTCCATGGTATTACTTCTTCCATTTAGAAACCTTCCAGCATGGAGTCCTGGCTCTCTCTCCAGCTCTCAAAGTCCCTCTCAAACTGGCCCTGCTTAGCAGTAACATCGCTATTAAATCTTGCTCCCTTCTGTGCTACTCTTTCTGTCTGTTGTACCTCTGCACCCACCTCCATGCCCTAAATCCAAATTTTATTCAATTGTGAAAACCAGCTGTAATGGTCTGAATGCTTATATGGCCCCCAAATCCATAGGTGAAACCCTATGCCCAAATGCTATTAAGAGGTGGAGAGGGGTCTTTGGGAAGTAATTAGGATCAGATGGGGTCATGAGGGTAGAGCCCGCGAGAGTCCCAAGAGGGCTTGCCTCCTGTGTCCACCACGAGAGGACAGCAAGAATGCCACCTGTGAATCGGGAAGTAGGTTTTCATCAGACATCGAATCTGCCAGTGCAGACTGGACTGGACGTCCAGTCTCAAGAAACTATGAGAAATCAATTTCCATTTTTAAAAGCTACTTAGTCTATGGTATTTTGCTATAGCAGCCCAAACTGACTAAGACACATGCCTACTCCACAAAGTCTCTCCTAACCCACACTGTGTTTTCTCCTTTGTTTACCCCTTAGGTGTCTATATGATTAGCAGGCCACGGTTTATCACTTAATTATTCTCTAAATATGAGAGAAAAAGCTTCTTTAAAGTAAAGAACATGGTTTATAAAAGGGGTTCCCAACCCCTGTCTGTGGCCTGTCAGGAACCCGGCCACACAGATGAAGGTGTGCGACGGGCGAGTGAGCATTACCGCCTGAGCTCTGCCTCCTGTCAGATCAGCGGCAGCAATGGATTCTCATAGGAGTACCCTACTGTGAACTGTGCATGCCAGATCTAGGTTGCACACCTGTTAATCTGAGGTGGAACAGTTTCATCCCGAAACCATCCACCCCTCCCCAGTCTGTGGAAAAATTGTCTTCCACAAAACTGGTTCCCAGAGGCCAAAATGGTTGGGGACTGCTTTTTCCCCACCATTCCTCCTAGAACAACCCTGGAAAAATAATACATGATCAAAAAACACACAGTTGATTACTAATTGGTAAATAAAGAAGGCAAGTCATAGATTGTTTTATCTACCCATATTCTTACAGAAAATTACATGAAGAGTTAAAATGTCTCTAAAAATCCTAAGTTTACCAAAATATGGCACCATGGGCCTAATGCCACAAGCAGAGGTTTCCACTGGTGTAACTCTTAACCTTAGCAAGCTTGCTAGAAACATGACCCTGCACTCACTCTAAAGGAAAGTAGATATTAACAAGGACATACCCTCTGATGTTGTAAGAATCTTCTTGTCTTTGGGAGCCAACGCATGCCCAGCATGACTGATAGTCCAAACTGGAAAGCGTCTGTTTGTCAAAGAGTATAAAGCCTTTGCAAATGGCACATAAAAGGCAGAAAAACCTGGGTTACCTAAGAAAAGAAACACAGACCTTAGATTAATCAAAGTAATAAACAGGCATAAGATGACACGCAGGCTAGAAAAGATGGGTCTGTTTCTTTTCACACTTTCCTCTGAATTCTTCAGAGTACCCAAGAGAGATTATCTTCAAACTTCCATTAAAATCACAGCAGTACCCTATTTAAACACCCTTCAGTGTCTTCCAGATAAAGTCATCTGGAAGAAGTCTAAAATCAGTAATACTGCATATAAGGCACTTCAAGATTTGGTCATGCTCAGTTAACAAGATGCATGAAAACCAGAAAAACAAGCCAGCCAAAATAGTGTAAGAAGCATGCACAGGGAGAGCTTTAAGGAGTCTACTGTTTCCTTGTCACTTATCACTAGCACTTATAATTGTAAACAGGTGTACAGCTTGATCTTTTGGGGAAACAAACGTCTACAAGTACATGTAGATTTTTCTTATGTGTGTACAGAAGGTATTTTTGACATGAGTTTGCTATAAAGAAACAATAAATAAACGATCTTTTTAAAAACATTCAATCTGATAGATCTGTAGGGGGGAAATTACAACGAAATGGGATTTTCATCTTGTAATCATCATCTATATAAAGTCTTCACAGCTACTAGTCCATTTCCATCAATATCTATTTCTCTGATCAGTTTATCTATTTCTTCATGTTGTTAGGCTTTCTGGTCTCTGCAATTACATGACATGGCTCTGGAGCACTGATGTAAATAACCACTGTCATCCTTGTCGAATTTCACTGATTTCTACTCCATTTTTATATCTTTCAGTTTGCTAGATAAGCAGTGTAGTAAAGTGGTTAAGAGCATAGACTCTGAAGCCAGACTACCTGGGTTGGAATCTTGGCTTTGCCACTTACCAACTGTGTGAGCTTTGGCCAAGCTATTTAACCTCCCTCTGCCTTGGTTTCCTCATCCACAAAATGTGTAATAATGGTACTACCTCATTTGAAGACTAAGTGAATCAATGTACAAAGCATTGTAACACTGCCTGAAACACAGCAAGTATTATATAAATGTTAGGTATTCAAACTTGTACAACAACGTCTAGCTATAACGGTAATATACAACGGCCGTAGCATCCATATTATTTTGCTTCTGTTGCATTCTGACCTAGTGACCCAAGTTCCAAATTCCTTTTTGTGATGGTGCTTTTGGCTTCTTTGTCAAATAGGATGAAAACTTCCTCAAATGCAGAAATATATTCTTTGGTCAGTTTATTGGCCACTGTATAGCTAAGGAAGAAAGAAGGGAGGAAGGGCATACCAGCACAGGGGCTATAACATCTATGGAAGCTGTGGGTGGCACTGTTTCATGTTTTATGCATTTAAGTCTTCAGTAAGTTTAGAATACTTTTTAGTATAAAATACTAAGTAGCAATCCAACTTTTTTCCAAGTGACTGGCCAATTGTTCCAAGACCATTTATTATATAATCCATTCTTTCTGCATTGATTTGAAATATCTTCAGACCCAATACTACATTTTTACATTCACTTGCTAATTCTGATACCAAATAATTCAGTTTATTTTTCCTTTTCTCCTCTGCCAGGACCATACTGTCTTAATTACTACATTTTTTTTTAAGTGTTAACAGGTAGGGCAAATCCCTTCCCTTTTTCTTTTTCTAAATTTTCTAGGCTGTTCTCATAAACTTTAGGGTTATTTTCACTAGTTTCAATTCTTAAAAATCTCTTTGGGATTGTGACTAAAATTTCATCTCATTAATATATTACTTTACAAAAATTTTATATTTTTATATTACTGAGTATAACCTTCTAGGAATATGTTATACCTCATATTCACATGTCTTACGTTGCTCATAGATTTCTTCATATGGCTAGAAAATAATAATAGCTAATATTTTTAGGTACTATAACTTACTACATGCCAGGCAGTGTTTAGGTGCTTTACATATATTATTTAATTATCATATGAGGTAGCACTATCATTACTTCCATTTTATGGATGAGGAAACTGAGTACAGAGAGGTTAAATAACTTAGCCAACATCACATATATGGTAAGTGCTAAATAAATATTTGATGACTGAAAGTATATACAAAAGAAAATCATAATACTGAATTTTTAAAAAACATCAGTAATCCGGTGTAGGATCTTCTGCCTTCCTTGTTTTAGTTAGTCTTACAATATCTCTATAAAGTAGTTGGCATTTTCATTAGAAATAACGAATGGATAGCCACTTGCACAAAACTTGGCACATGGTAGGGGCTGAATAAATGGCAGCTATTAATACCACAGCTATTATAACAATTAAAAACTGGTGTAACATTAAGGAGACACTAAAGATAACCCCATGATTTAGATGTAAGTTACAATGACACGATATATGAAAAACAGTGAGTACTAGATAATGGATACTTAATGCATGCAGGCATTAAAACCTAGATGATGGGTTGACAGGTGCAGCAAACCACCATGGCACATGTATACCTATGTAACAAACGTGCACATTCTGCACATGTATCCCAGAACTTAACATATTTTTTTAAATGAGGAAGAATAAATAAATAAATAAAACAAAGTTTTCTCCCTATCTCTGGGATTAAGTCTGAGTTCTTAAGCTTTCTGATCCACAATTTTATCATCATCAAGTAAATGATGATGCCAATTACTTATGTTCATTAATTCTATTCAGAATTACAGCTTCTTTTAGCCCTCAATTATTTATTGAGCACTTACTGTATGAAAGTCACTATGTCAGGCAAAAGACAGATGAGGGCCTTTTTGGAATTTATGTACTAGTGGGAGAATATACAACACATAACTAAATAGGTGAGATAAAGAGTGTGAGAACTCCTATAAAAGGAATAAACAGGGTCACATGATAGAGAAGGGAAGAGAATAGAGTGAAAAAAAGGTCTGAGGAGGTGACATTTAGCTAAGACCCCAAAATGACAAGAAATAAGCCTTGTGAAAATTTGAGGGAAGAGAATAAATACTAAGGAGGGAGAAGGCCCTCAAGAAATAAAGATCTTAGCTCTTGAAGAGCTAATTCAAAGGCCCTCAAGAAATAAAGATCTTAGCTCTTGAAGAAATGGAAGACAGTCCATAATCCTTGGTTCTTCCCTTTGCATCTAATCTATCAGTGTGGCTAAAGCATAACAAGAGATATCAAATCTTGTATGAGATCAGGTTGAAGAGGAAGAGAAATACAATCATGTGATACCTTTTGGGCCATGATAAGTAATTTGGCTTTTAATCTAAGTAACATTAAAAGAGATTGAGCAGGGTTAAGGCATAATCAGATTTAAATTTAAAAAAAGTCTTCTATCTTAAAAGAGTAATTAGGAAAAATATGAAAATTTTCATAGCAATACATTTAGCAACTTAGATAAAATAAACTTTTAGAAAGACAGAAACTATCAAAGTTCACTCAAGAAGAAACAGATAACCTAAATAGCCCTAAATTGATTGGATTAATTAGAATTTAAGTTAAAAATCTTCCCACAAAGAAAATCCAGGCCCACACAGCTTCACTGGTGAATTCTATCAAACATTTAAGGAAGAAAAATGCCCAGTGTATAAAAACTCTTTCAGAAAATAGAAGAGAAATGTATTAGTCTGTTTTCATGCTGCTGATAAAGACATACCCGAAACTGGGCAACTCACACACAAAGAAGAGGTTTCATGGACTCACAGTTCCACATGGCTGAGGACACTTCACAATCATGGTGGAAGGCAAGGAGTAGCAAGTCACATCTTACATGGATGGCAGCAGGCAAAAAGAAAGGGAGTGTGTGCAGGGGAACTCCTCTTTATAAAACCATCAGATTTCATAAGACTTATTCACTATCACAAGAACAGCATGAGAAAGACCTGCTCCCGTGATTCAATTACCTCCCACTGAGCCCCTCCCACAACACGTGGAAATTGTGGGAGTTACAATTCAAGAAGAGATTTGGGTGGGGACACAGCCAAACCATATCAAGAAAGAAATATATTCTAACTCATTCTATGAGGCCAGCATCACCCTCATACCAAAACCACATAAAGACATTGCAAAAAGAAAAAGAAAAAACTACAGACCACTATACCTCGTGAACAAAGATGGAAAAATTCTAAACAAAATTTTAGCAAACTGAGTCCATCAAAATGTTAAAAGCATAATACATCATGACCAAGTGGGATTTATCACAGGAATGCTGGATTGGTTTAACATTCAAAAATTAACATCATCCACCACATTAACCAACCGTAAAAGAAAAACCATACGATCCTCAACAGATGCAGAAAAAAATGGAAGTTTTATCCTGTCAGAAATATACTTAACATTGTAGCATGTATAACGTACCAAACTTGAAAGTTTAACTTCTTTAAAAGTAGCCATCACTTGCTATAGTTCTCTGTATCCAGTGGCACCAAGCAGCACTAGATTGGGTACATGGCACTCACATACAATAAATCCTTTCAAACTGAACGCATAGCAAGTATCACAAAGGTCTAACTTATAACAGAGACAGAAGTGGAAAATGCAATGCAAAATGCTTAAATACCATTGCATACAGTACTTCATACTTCACCATTTAAACCTCCTTGTTAAGAAACCACAAAGAAAATTAAAAGGCCTACACTTATGCAACTAAAAAAGACACACACACGGAGGGGTATGGGAGAGGTCCAGGTGTAAGGATGTTGGAAAACATTCCAATGCAGACATGCAAGTAAAATATTTAATCAAAAGTTTACATAAAAATGTGTTATAAACACACACTTGAACATGCTCATAACAGTCAAATCAGTCAAATACCCATGCAATGTATAACAGAAGTTGTAGTGATCATCTCTAGGCCCTGACTGCTAATAATCTCCAACTATACAATGCTGCAAGTATAGACTTATACCTTCCAGTTAATTTTGTAGGGAGAGGAACGAAAACTGCCACATATCAAGTTAATATGGCACAGTATCTATATAATAGGTTGCCATGTAGACAGACCTATTGGACTCATTCATGGAGCCTTATCTGCTATATCTCCAACCACTGTGCTCACAGCACTTGATACTTCACATGGTTCTGTTATCTCCATATGACCTCCTAAGAATTATGATTCAGTGTACTCTATGGTGAGTTCTCAATCTGATTCCCTTTGTTCATCTCACTAGTTAAAGAAAGTCCAAGGACAATGTTACTTTACAGAAATCCAAGATCTAAGGTTCATCAGAAAAAATGAAACTAAATTAAAAGTTCTTCAATCTGTGGATTCTGATCAAAAAAGGAACACAGTAAAAATTCTTACAAATGCAAAAAAAAGAAAAGAAAAGAAAATGATATTGCATCCATTAAACATCAGACTACAAAAAAGAAAAGAAAACTCACAATTATCATTACTAACTTAGAAGTGAAGAATTAATTTTGCTAGCTGCAAAAGCAATGTGATTTAAAATGAAATGTTATGTCAGTCTATCAGAGACGGACATAACATGGTGTCCATAGTGGCTTCACAATCCTTGAAATACTGTTATCCTGATTATTACCACAGTGTAAATAGATTAGCTCCCCCGAAACCTGCCACACACACACACACACACACACACACACACACACACACAAAATACAATTCTAAATCCCACAAACTAATGAGCAGGGCAAACATAAAAGAACACTAGGAAATGAAATATGATCTGAAAATGTCAAAGCACTATAAACAATGAGACTATCAAACTACAAATGTTTTATGCTTCCCTCCATTCTCAGTGTCTTCACTGAATACTCCCTTTATCTCCTCACCATATCTGAAATCTGGCTCTCCCCTGTAATGGGCTCTCTTCCTTTCAATCCTCTTCAGCAGAGGCCTCAGTCACTCTTCTCTAACACCACATATAACTCAATGAGAGCAAAGACTTAATGCAACACAGTATTCCTAGCACCTGGGATAAAAGAGTGAGGGAATAAATACTATCTCCAGGTGGGGAAGTGGGTGGGTTGTCTGTCCCACTTACTATTTCACCTCACTATTACAACAACCTCTTCTTCTTTAAGACTCAAGCCATCTATTTCCATCTATCAACTTTTTAGTCACTCACACTTTCTCTGAAAGCCTTGACCCTTAAATGACAGTTTCACTTGTCATGTCATGTCAGGACATTTCAAAATCCAGTTGGACTGACTGAGCCAAAAACTTTGTCCCATAATTCATTATTATGATGAAATCCAAAGAACTTCACCTACATTAAACTTAAGCAATTCATTCCCATGACTACACCCTGGATCAGATATGCGTATCACAGTTCCCTGCAGGGCTTGTTAAAACACTGATTGCCCAACCCCCAGACTTTCTGGTTCAGAAGGTCAGGGATAGAGCCCAGGAACTGCATTTTTAAAGTTCTCAAGCAATACTTCTGATCCTGACACCAACTTTAAGAACCACAGGCCTAGTATCTTTTCATGAGCTGGAAATGATTAGCATTCAAAACATGGTCTCAACTCTCAACAGAAAAAACAGTAGTCAGGAAGCAGGAGACTTCACTTCCCTCTGATACGCCTTTATACTTTTCCATTTTAGTAACCAATTTCACCTCCTTCTTTCTAGCCTTAGAAGGATATCCCTTCTCGAGTTTAAGATAATGTTTCTACTTATTTTCTCTATCCTATGCTATAAGCTATTCCAAATCTCTGCTCCATCAAACAGCACTTGCCATGACTATAATTTCAAACTCTCCTTCACTACTGGAAAAGTACATGTATTTTTATGTTAATAGATGCTGAACGGACTGACTTCCACAAAGACTGTTACATCCTGGCAGAAGAATAGTTTATTCCCATTAGTGGTTAAAACAAAGAGAAATTCTCGATCAGGAATCTTAGTCCAGCTGAGAATGAAAGTACCATACTGAGAAGAGGCTGGACTAGGCATAACCAAACACTGAAACTACCACCTCCTTTCCCCTGTTCCTCTTTGAACATTAACAGACAGGTTTCCACTCTTCAAACAGGAGCCTGGAAGATTCCTCCCCAGGAAAACTGAACAATAAAAGAAAGAGCTTCAGACACTGAAAGCTGGAAATCCGTCAATGAAATGCTGGGTCCCTACTCAATCACCTTAGGATGAGGCCCACCTAGGGCGACCAACTCCTCTGTTTTGCCCGAGACTGTCATGGTTTTAGTACTGAAAGTCTTATGTCCTAGAAAACCTCTCAGTCCTAGGCAAGCTAGGATGGCTAATCACCCTAGACACACCTCTGGATAAGCCCCAGCTCTGAGTGCAAAGCTTCCAATTTGTTTTTTGTCTTCCTCTTAAACATGAATGGATAGTCAAGGATTGCCAGACATTTGAGGAAAACTAAAGACTAATGCAAATGAAAAAAGGAACACAGTGAAAATTCTTGCAAATGCAAAAACAAAAAAGAAAAGAAAAGAAAATGATATTGCATCCATTAAACATGAGACTACAAAAAAGAAAAGAAAAACAAAGCGCTATTAGAATGAAATGAGTTTCTGGCTTAAAAGGGCCCACCAAAACCCAAGTACCTTGTATGAAAAAACAGTCACACCAAGGTGCTTCACTGTAAAATTTCAGAATCTCAGAACAAAGAAAAGGTCTCGAAAATGTGGGTAGAGAATCTTCACATACAAAAGGCGAAAATCAGAAATGATACCAATACTTCTTATAAGCAGCTCTGAGTGTTGGAAAACAATGATTAATGCCCTCCATTAACGCCCTCCATTTTCCTCCTAAAGAAAAATTATTTCCAACCTAGAGTCTAAGACATTTTGCAGCATGCTGTGTTACTTCTCATGTACCTCTTCTAAGGAAGCTACTAGAAGATATGCTCTACCAAAAACAAGAGAATAAACTAAGATAAAAATGTGGGATCTGAGAAACGAGGGATCCAAGCCAGAAGAAAGTGACAGAAGTCCCCAGGATGGCAACTGTGCAGCAGGCCTGGGGAGCAATGAGTCCAGACTGGAGCCAAAGGACAGAGCATTCTGAAAACTGACTGATGACTCAAATGCATTGAAAGGATTCTTTTCACTTCTAGAGAATAGTTCTAGGATAAATGAGTGATTAAAGCACAAAAAACTAAGCAAAAAGATAACAGAACATCATTAACCCAGGGAAAACAAACAAAAATATATAAGAAAGGAAATGCATGCGCAATTCCCTATAGGCTTAGCTATGTATAATATAATTAATATAATATAATATAATATACATAATATAATATAATACATAGTCATAATAATAAAAGCACTGAATATTGACCTAACAAAAAACTGAAATATTCCCATACTAGGAAAATAGATGGAGAAGGAGGGGTATATGATTGTGCATGGAGAAGGGAAAGTATAAGAAAGCTAATCTTTTTCTTTCATGGAGGAAGACAATAGATAACATCTAATATTAAAAACTCAGGAGAATTGCTTGAACCCGGGAGGCGGAGGTTGCAGTGAGCCGAGATCACACCACTGCACTCCAACCTAAGCAACAGAGAGAGACTCCATCTCAAAACAAAACAAAAGACAACTGAAGAAGAAGAAATATAAGTATTTCATTTAGAAACGAGTAAAGGCCAGGCATGGTGGCTCATGCCTATAATCCCAGCACTTTGGGAGGCTGGGGTGGGCAGATCACTTGAGGCCAGGAGTTCGACACACGCCTGGCCAACATGGTGAAGCCCTGTCTCTACTAAGACTACAAAAATTAGCCAGGCATGGTGGCAGACACCTGTAATCCCAGCTACTGATGAGGCTGATACAGGAGAATCTCTTGAACCCAGGAGGTGGAGGGTTGCAGTGAGCTGAGATCATACCACTGCACTCCAGTCTGGGCAAGAGAGTGAGACTCTGTCTAAACAAACAAACAAACAAAAAAGAATGTGGAATAAATATCACAGGAATATACCAGTGTTAAAAGTGGTTGCCTCTGAGAACATCTGTTGGAACTAGAAAAGCTGATTTTTTGGTTATTATTTATTTTTTTTAAAGATATTGATATTTATGTTATATATTCATGGGGTACATGTGATATTTCGTTACCTGTATAGAACGTGTAATGATCATGTCAGGGTGTTTTAGTACATTCACTTTGAGTATTCATCATTTCTATGTGTTGAGAAAAATCCAAGGCCTCTCTTCTAGCTACTTTATACCAATACAATACACTACTGTTAACTATAGTCAGTCTACTCTGCCGACTATGCCAATTCTGTTGGTATAAATAAGTTCCAACAATAGAACTTACACCTTTCATCTAACTTGCATGTTTGTACCTGTTTACCTCTCTCTTCATCCCTCCTCCCAGCCCTGCACCCTTCCCAGCCTTTAGTATCTATCATTATACTCTGCCTTTACGAGATCAATTTTAGGAAAGTTGACTTTAAAGATCATTTAAGCTTTTTTTTTCCTCCTAATGAAGCCAAAAAATATATTCTGCAGCCAAAAGAAAAGAAGCTAAAGAATATTCTGGAAAAGAATAAAAATGAACAAGTTCCAAAAAATATGTAAAAGTATCATAAAACTGCATTTATTAAAAAACATGAAGAACACATGAAGAGGCGAAAAACATGGAAAGAAACTCCTGGCCACAGGATAATCTACTTTACAATACAGTTAGCATTGCAAGGCAGTAGGAGAAAGGCAGATGATACAATAAATGGTTGTGGACCATGTAATAAGCCATCCAAAGGAGAGGGAGAAGAAAAGTAGATCCCTTCCTCAGTGCCTGCCCTTAAAATCTAGATGCATCAACTTAAAGATCACAAATGAAATTGTAAAAATACTAGAAGACATGGCAGAATTGTTTTATAATCTTGGAGTAGGAAAGCCCTCTCTAAGAAACTCATAAAACCCTGAAGTCTTAAAGGAAGAGACTTAGCATTTTGGCCACATAACAAAGATACTTTCTATACAACCAAATAAACATTGTAAATGATGTCAAAAGACAAACCAGGAAAGATTCTTGTCACGTATGACAGATATAACACAATTTTACAGTTGTGTAAGAATCAACTGAAAATCAATAAGGAAAACATTGAAAACACAATTGAAAAATGGGCAAGGGTTTCGAACTGGCAATTCACAGAATAAGAATAAACATGTATGTTCAAACTCACAATTTAAAATGCATTTTGAATACCTGCAATCGCTCAAGCATCTGTCCCTAATTCTATTGACAATGATCTAGCAAAAGTTACAAGTGACTCAGCTGCCAAATATCAGAATATTCTAATTTTTAATTTTTATTTTTTTATTTTTTATTTTTTTAAATATTTTTTTGAGACGGAGTCTCGCTCTGCCCCCCAGGCTGGAGTACGGTGGTGTGATCTGGGGGCAATGCAACCTCTGCCTCCCAGGTTCAATCAATTCTCCTGCCTCAGCCTCCCGAGTAGCTGGGACTATAGGCATGTGCCACCACGCCCAGCTAATTTTTTGTTTTTTAGTAGAGATGGGGTTTCACCATGTTAGCCAGGATGGTCTTGATCTCCTGACCTTGTGATCCACCCACCTCAGCCTCCCAAAGTGCTGGGATTATAGGCGTGAGCCATTGCACCTGGCCAAATATTCTATAATAAACATATAATCATGTTGAAATGAGGCAGAAAAAGTTTAGAAAACTGGCAAAAATATTGATGAAGTTTTAAATATTAAGAAATGCTTTAAAAACCACATTACAAAACTGCATATATAGTACATACTTCCAACTGTGACACAAACACACACACACACACACACAACAGACAACATAATGTAAATACATAGAAGAAAAACACAAAATCCAGACGTCAAAATATTAAGGGTGGTTGTTAACAATGGGTCAAGCGATTTTAATTCCTTCTCCAAGGTTTTCCATATTTACCAAATTCTCTATACTTTAAAATCAGACATAGTTATGAGTATCTACAAAAAGTCTCCTCACCCAGACTTTTACGCTCACCAGGAATAATGAAAATAAGCAGCTTAGGCCTTTTGACACTTTGATCATGAAAGAGGTCTGTCCAGGGCCCACATTTTAGAACCTGGGTTTCGGCTCCACCACACAAAATGAATTCCTCATGCACAGGAATTTCTTCCTTGAGTTCTGAGTCCATTTCTAAATAAGGGGAGAAAAGTAGTATGAAGAGTCAGTAAAATGTAAAACCTTGAGCCAAAGACAAAATTCAAGAATAAAAAAGGGCAAGTTTCAATATACCTAGAAGGAAATGCCACAAGGACATCTGGGAAACTATAAGACTATTCAGTGATGCTGGATTATACGATTGCAAGACACGTAAAACAAGCCACGAAAGTACTTAGAAAGGAGGAGACATATCCTTGGAAAAATGAAAGACTATAGAGGGGTTTGAGTCAAAACCGTAACTTCCACAAATTCCCTCTGCTAGAATTCTCTTTTAGCTCTGTGCATTACCATGAGACAGGTTCCCCTACCTTCACCTGGTGAGAAAGTGCAGAGGTTCTGGCTTGCCCTTGCATTCACTCCATAGAAGAGTAAGAGGGACAATGAACTCCCTATGGTCTCTTATTTCCTCATATTACTCTTCTCTTCTCCCAAATTCTATGTGTGTGTGTGTGTGTGTGTGTGTGTATGTGTGTGTGTGTGTGTGTATGTATGAATATGTGTGTATATATATGTATATATACATATACATACATATCCACACATACTATATCTATCTATCTATATACACACACAATATACATGTATATATATATACATATATACGTTGCCCAGGCTGGAGTTCAGTGGCATGATCTTGGCTCACTGCAAACTCTGCCTCCCAGGTTCAAGCAATTCTCCTGCCTCAGCCTCCTGAGTAGCTGGGACTACAGGCACGTACCACCACGCCTGGCTAATTTTTGTATTTTTAGTAGAGATGGGGTTTTGCCATGTTGGCCAGGCCGGTCTTGAACCCCTGATCTCAGATAATCCACCCACCTCGGCCTCCCAAAGTGCTGGGATTACAGGCATGAGCCATCACATCCAGCCCCAATAAGCATATTTTATGTATTAAAGCACTACATTAAATTATGAAATGGATAGGTGGGAAAAAACCCAGGATATACTATCATGAACCATTTCCTGAGTAATTAGTTATGTGCAAAAATGTAGGTCCCAATTATTTCTATCACTCCTCCACCTCTGCCTCTGCCTTCCTCATCTACTGACAGCACCAAATCTCAAACCTTCATTGGTCTTTCTGTCTTTCTCTTCCCCTCTCTTCCACTCACTCAAAGCACTCCAGAGTTAAGATTCAAAGGGCCCTTCTAGCTTATTCTCCTCTTACCACTTTACATCAGCCTTGCACTTTAGTCTTCTTGTCCTTGAATTTCCCTAGTGCCCCTACGCTTTTCTGCTTCTATAACTTTGCTCATATTTAATTCTCCAACCATATTTAATCCCATAACTGTACTTTGTACAGCTATCAGTTTATTACCTCTCTACTCCAAATTCATTCTTCATTGTCTTATCTGGAAAAGTGGATCTGGGCCTTTAAAATATTTTTCATTTGCCAGTATGACATGATGCTAAGCTCTGTCAATACAGTGCACTGGAAAGGGAGGGAAGGAGTTTTCTCAGCAGGTTTCTGGAGAGCTTATATTTTACCCCTCCACTGTTCCACTGCTGTGAGATTTCTCTATTGCAGTGGTTCACAACTAGAGACAATTTGCCCTCAGAGGACATATGGCAATATTTGGAGATTATTTTCCATTGTCATAACTTGGGGAACTACTGAGATACAGTGAATAGAGGCCAAGGATACTGCCAAATATCCTACAATACACAGGACAGCTCCCCACAACAAATAATTATCCAGCCCTGAAGGTCAATAATGCCAAGGCTGAAAAACAACACTGCTGTAGTACTAGGTGCCTGCAGGGGAAAGCTTTCTCCAGCATCTGGCTAGCGGCTGTGTGCTTTCTTTCTCCAGCTCTCTACTCAGGCAGCAGCAGCACTATAGCCAGGAGCCCCAGACCAGGTGGCTACTCCCCAGCCCCTCTCCTCAAACCATATGCACCGGCTTGGCCAGCCAGCCACCTGACCTTTGTTCCACACAGCAGCTTGGTATACTGTCCTGCCCCAAGCTGTAAACAGCAGTGCTCTAGATTGCTACACAGGGAGGCCTCTCCAACTTGCAATTCCAGTGGTATCTAAAGTGGTGCTCCAACTCCTTCTACTAACTAGCCAACCTCAACTCACTTGCACCCCAAGGGTTGTTACTGTGGCCCTGCCGCACTGCCCTGATTCCCTCTGCATGCTCTCCTACCAGTCTTAACTCACCTGCTCACACTGTGATTGTGCACCAGCGTTGGCTCAGACAACGCAGCAAATTTCTCTACCATCCAATGGGCTATAGCCACACTTTCAATGAGGTCTGAACCTCATTTCAATTCCGTCCTTCATTGGGTACTTTTCCTCAGCCCTAGGGTAACTTTTGGAGTTCTCCTTATAGAGTGACTTCATAGTTTTTCTCTTATCATACCCTAATAATTCTTTAAGTTAAACTAACAATTTTAGTTACTATGTGGCTTCTGTCTTCTGATTTGATCCAGACTGATATATCTCTCATGTGTCTGTGCAAATTTTTCTTTATAAATCTTTCCCTCATTATACACAGCTCAAATTCTATTTGTTACATGAAGCCTTCCTTGAGCACCCCAGGTAAACAAAGGAAATCACCTCTTCCTCTAAACTCACAGCATCTGTCTTTATTATAAGGTGGCAGTGGTAAAGGCACACAGCTAAGCTTCACCTGGTAAAATTTGTCATGTCATGCCACACTTTCCCACAGCACCACAGACAAGCAACTGATGCAAGGGCTATGTGTCCCTGCCCAGATTGAACATCCTAAGGCAAATGCAATGTTGGCTAGGTTGTAGTGAAATGGGAAATTCCACACATTGATGGTAATCATAAAAATGGCTTTGCAAAGCAATCTGGCAGCATGGATCAATACTCATAAAAGGTATAAACTTTGATTCAGTCATTCAATTCTGAAAAAAACCTAAAATATTTTAAGACTGATGCATGGAATGCTAATTATAACAGTGAAAAGCTGAAAAAACTAAATGGTCATGGATAGATGAATGCTTAATTATGATAACCCATTATCAGACACTAAAAAAATTATATATATGACTCGATATTAAGGAATAATTAAATAAATTGTAACTCAATATAATGATCAAATATTATGTTCCATCAAAACTGCTCTAAGTTGGTTATAATTTATGCATTTCTTTTCTAACATTTCTAAAATTTCACTTCTCTAGCCTGATGTTATATTGCCTCTTTCATTCTCTTTGTTTATTCCTTTATTGTTTATTCTGTTAATTTAGTGAATTTAGGAAGAAATAAACATATTTATTCTAACCTCTATGTTTAACCAAAAGTCCAAAACTGATTCTCTTAAGAATACTTAGAAAAATGAAAAATCCCCACTTAGAAAGTGGAGACCACTGTCCATTAAAAATATATGGACTAAATAAAGTATCACTTCATATTTTCTTATGGACTGAATTTTTACTTCACTAATAAATGCCACTGTAGCCCATTCTCCAAAACTATCACAAACTACAGTATATTTATGTAAGTTCTGACCTTTATAATGTGTTAGAAACAATATTAGATTTAGCACTAAACACTATATTAAATTAGAGCACTGACTGAGAAGACACTGGCCAAACTGAATACCTTCACCAGAAGAGAATTTAAAGTTATTAACTATAAAGTTGTTAAATATATTCAAATCATAAATATCAATACTTAACTTCAAGTAAATGACATTGTGGGAGCTTGATTAGCCACAAAATTAGTGAGAATTCAACTAGATATGAAAATCAAGCTCAGTCTATAAACATTGGAAAACAAAAAAGTACAACTCTAACACCTCAAATAAAATAAGCTGAGAAACATGGAATTAAAATGCTGGCTAGCTGCTGTATAGCTTCCCCTGTAGGCACCTAATTCCATGTATTTATAAAGCATCGTTTATTTTACTTCACTCTCGTATTTCTGAATCTCACACACCCACGTAAAAGCAGCAATGGAAAATCTGAGGCACGAGAATTAAAACTCTTCCCTACCTAAGAATCCAAGGTAGTTCAGTTCTGCAAATAACTGTCAGATTAACAAAGGAGAGTACGTTGTAATTATATACTGGTAAAGGATAATGGCACGCCTTCAGCCTCAGCCCATAAGCAATCTTTAATAAAATCAATTTTCATAAGCAGTAAGACTTGTGCTGGATAAAAACCAAGCGTGCATACAATCTGTGTAACTTAGGCAAGCCTATTTTCTTAAATATAGGTTTTAATTTGCTTAATGGGCTTCTAATTTTATTTAGTAAGAGGGTTTTTTCCAATTAAATCTCATACAAACCTAGATAATTTGACTAGTATAAATTTTAGAGGTTCAAATTTATAATATTTGTTATACTATTTATAATACAAACATATAAAGTCATGGGCTGATTTATTTATATGTTTAAATATATACTTAGTATACATTAAGTGATTCTATGTAAATATAATATTTATTTATTATAAAGTTAGCCATTGAGAACAGTAAGACTGTACTAATAAATAAAATATTTGAAAGTGGAGTTATAAATAATACATCTTAATCAGCTTCAGCAAACAGTAAAATGTCTGCATTTTACTTTGGCTACTTGGTAATACTGCTTTATTCATGTAAGAACTGTAGATGATAACAACTTTTTTAAGGTTTGTGTTGCAATGTCCAAATAGTTTTCAATTAAATGTCCAGACAGTCTTTCAAAAAAACTTGAAAAAGAGGTAATAAGATGGTTTTCTTTCCAAGTTAAAGTACCAACAATATCCAGTCATAACTTACATTATTTATTACATATGTAAGATGAACAGGAAGCTTCTAAAACTTCCTCAAATGCCAAAAACTTTAAACATAATAATATTAAATGTGGACCATTCTGTGGACTCTGTTATTGTGCCACGATGACACAGAGCAGAGCATATACTTTGCATGTGTCTGAACCTTCATTAGTGCTATTCCTAGGCACTAGTATTAAACCTACTTGGAAAATATATGGTGACTGGTCAAGTGCAGGTTTGACTTTTAAAGGCCCAGGGCAGAAAAACAAAATTTTTAATTGGTAACAGAAGTTTTACTTTAGTCATTTTTTAAAATTGGCCTAGAAGCCAACATAAACATGCTGGTGATCTGTACATCCCAAATAATCTTCCATTGAGAACAATTAGAAAAGCCAGAAAACCTTTTTAAAAATGTTAAAAAAAATCCATAACCACTGAAAGAATTTATAAGACTGTATAACAAATTAATAAAATATAGAAAATAATTAATATAGAAATAAGCAGAAAGCAGAGAAGCAATAGAGAATAGAAAATAGGACACAAAATGTATGAAATGCAGATAAAGATACGAATGCAGGAAAATTCAAAGTTTTGAAATGCATATATTAGAAAACAAGGCTGCAAATAAAGGACTTAGCCATTTGGCCTAAGGAATTAGAAAAAAAATAAATGAATCCAAATAAAGAAAATAGAAAAAAGATAATAATGAAGAGTAGATATTAATGAAATAGGAAAAAAAGTTTACATTAGAGAGGATTAGCAAACCCAAAAGTTTTTACTTTGAAAACACCTATAAATAAGTAAACCCTTGACTTCTCAAGAAAAGAGATGGTACAATCAATCAATATCAGAAGTGAAAAAAGGATATCACTCCAGATTCTACAGACATCAAAAAATAATAAACAAATATGAAGAAATGTATGCCAATAAACTTGACATGGGCAAATTCCAAAACAAACAAACAAACAAAAAAACCAAACCCAACAGATACAAAAAGAAAACAGACTAGAAGACTCTTAATAAACTTATATTTTAAGACAAAATTCTTGGTCCAGATGAAATTAACACCTAAGGAAGGAATAATACCAATTTTACATACAGTTGTCCAGAGAATAGAAAAAGAGGGACACTTCCCAACTCATTTTATGCAATCAGCAATTCTTTGTAATTTTTACTTTAAAATGTACATTATAATTAAGGTTGAGATAGATGCAAAAACTATTCAAAATATTAGCAGACCAAATCTAGTGCTATACAAAAGGGTAATAGATGACAACTAAATTGTGTATATATCAGAAATGAGAAGTTGTTTAAATATTCAAAATTTAATCAGTTTAAGTTACCACATTAACAGAATAAAGAAAACTTATATAATCATCTCAATTGATACAGAAAATATTTCATAAAATCCAATAGTCATGAAAAAATTCTTAACAAGTGAGAAATAAAGAAATCTTTTATAAAATATAAATATGAAATTCATTTTTTTCATATAATACAAGTATTAAAAATCTTCAGTAAATGTTTACTAAGGGTAAAATATTGAAACCCTCTCTGAGTTTGGGATCAAGATATGGAGGTCTGCTATCAACACTTCTATACTTGAGGTCTCAGCCAATGCAATAAGAAAACAAAAAAAGATATAAATATATTTAGATTGGATAGGAAGAAAGTGTGATTATTCACAAACATGATGACATACATAGAAAATGCAAAAAAAAAAAAACCCTTACATATATTATTTGAATTAATAAGTGAATGCAACATGGTCATTAGCTAAAAGGTCAATATATGAAAATCAAATATATTTCTACATACCAGCAACAAACAATTTGAAAATAAAACATAAAAGAGACCACTTATAACAGCATCAAAAAAATCAAATACTTAGGAATAAATCTAACAAATGATGTGCAAGACCTCTACACAGAAAGCTACGTGGTTTGCTGGATATTACTGAGAGAAATTAAATAACGAGGGGACAAACTGTATTCGTGAACTGGAAGTCTCACTAGTATAAACTCCAAATTAATTCTTAGATTTGTAAAATTCCAATCCAAATCAGGTCTTTTCCCTTTCCTTTTTTTAAAAATGGAAATTGTTAAGCTAATTCTAATATGTATGTGGAAGTGTAAAAAGTCAAGAATAACAAGACAAGGCCGGGCGCGGTGGCTCACACGCCTGTAATCCCAGCACTTTGGGAGGCCGAGGCGGGCGGATCACGAGGTCAGAAGATAGAGACCATCCTGGCTAACACGGTGAAACCCCATCTCCACTAAGAATACAAAAAAATTAGCCGGGCGTGGTGGCGGGCGTCTATAATCCCAGCTACTCAGGAGGCTGAGGCAGGAGAATCGCTTGGGAGGCGGAGCTTGCAGTGAGCAGAGATCATGCCACTGCACTCCAGCCTGCGCGATAGAGAGAGACTCCGTCTCAAAAAAAAAAAAAAAAAGAATAGCCAAGACAAGTTTGAAGAACAACCACAAAGTTGGAGGACTTTACCCTATATCCAGGTTTAATAAAAATATACCATTATTGAAGACAACATAGACAAAACAGTGGACAAGAACAGGGAATCCAGAAACAAATCCAAAGATATATCTTCATGATTCATGACAATGGCGTTCATGCAGAGGAGTAAGGAAAACAAGGTCTTTCAAATAAATGATGCTGGTTCAACTGGATATCCATGTGGAAAATAAATGAATCTTGACTCCTTTCTCACACCACAGACAAAATATAGTACTAGGTATATTATAGATCTAAATGTGAAACGTGAACAATAAAGCTTCCAAAAGATAACATTGGAACATACCTTTATGAGCTTAGGGTGGCCAAAGGTTTCGTAAACAAGGTAATAGTAAACATGAGCCATAAAGGAAAAGACTGCCAGGCGTGGTGGCTCACACCTGTAATCCCAGCACTTTAGGAGGCCGAGGCAGGTGGATCACAAGGTCAGGAGATCAAGACCATCCTGGCCAACATCGTGAAACCCCATCTCTACTAGAAATACAAAAAAAAAAAAAATTAGCTGCGCTTGGTGGCGCGTGCCTGTAATCCCAGCTACTCAGGAGGCTGAGGCAGAAGAATTACTTGAACCAGGGAGTCGGAGGTTGCAGTGAGCCGAGATCGCACCACTGCACTCCAGCCTGGCAGCAGAGTGAGAGTTCATCTCAAAAAAAAAGGAAAAGACTTTCAAATTCCATCCTCCATTAGAATTAAGAACTTGGATTTAGCAAAAGACACTATTAAGAGAGTCAGAAGGCAAGTCACAGAGTGGGAGAACACTATACATATACACACACACATATATACACATATGTATAGTATTCTGAAAACGAGCCTGTTGTTAGGAAATATATATATACACACAGGATATAAAAATAGATTTTTGTCCCAACATGCACATATCCAGAATTTACAAAGAACTTTTACAAATCAGTAAGAGACAACTCAATAGAAAAATGATATTTGAACAGGCACTTCACAAAAGAGACTATCAGCGAATAAACATAAGGGCTTTCTAGAAGAGTAAAAGAATACTGATACAGAAACTATAAATAAAATACCATTCAGGGAGGAGACTGATTTGCTGGATATGTATAGGCCAATACCGAAGCTGTCCTACTGTTCACTATGAAGGCCTTGAATGGCAAGCTAAAAAATTAGAAAACCAGAAATTCCACAAACAGGTTTTCCAAGGAACATGTATCACAAGCTACCAGTTACCATACTTAAGAAAATAAAGTGTTCTCAGGAAACATTGGGTGTTCCAGTTACTCTCGCTATCTAAAATATTACTTTAAAACTTAGTGGCTTAAGACAACCATTTACTATGCTTATGGATTCTGTGGGTCAGGAATTCAGAAAGGGCACAACAAAGATAGCCTATCTCTGATCCAAAGTCTGGGGCCTTAGCTGAGAAAACTCAAGAACTGGGTGTGATCTGATCACTGGAGGCAGGAGTCATCTGGAAGTATCTTTGTTCATATGCTTGGTGACTGATGCTGTTGTCACATAGGCTGTTGGCCTGGAACACCTGCATGTGCCTTCTCCATTTGGCCTGCCAATATGGGCTACTTAAGCTTCTTCAGAAAATGGTGGCTTGGTTCCAAGAGCAAATGTCTCAAGAGTACCAGATTAAAGTTGTATCACCTTTTATGACCTACCCTCAAAAGTCACATAGCATCACTTCCATGTTAGACAGAAGCCCATCAATATTCAAAGACAGCATGTTCTTTGTACAATATGACTGTGACATTTCTACTGAGAGGGGTCAGTAGAAGAAGTGTCAAAGTCATATTGTAAAAAGAACATGTGGTATGGGAGTTACTATTGTGGCCATCTTTGGAAAACACAATCTGCAAAGTTAAGTTAAACACAAAGGCACATAAGCTTTACTTCTGAGGAACTTTTTCAAAGCACACCGATAAGAACTGAGAATGCTTTAGAGGGGGACATAGTATACAACAGGGGTCCACAATCCCTGGGCCATGGTCTGGAACTGGTTAGGAACCAGGCCACATAGCAGGAGATAAGCGGCAAGCAAGCATTACTGCCTGAGCTCCGCCTCATGTTAGATCAGTGGAGGCATTAAATTCTCACAGGAACGCAAACCCTATTGTGAACTGTGCATGCGAAGGATCTAGGTTGTATGCTCCCTATGAGAAACTAACGCCCAGTGATCTGAGATGGAACAGTTTCATCCCAAAACCATCACTCCCCACTCCCCACCATTTGTGGAAAAATTGACTTCCACAAAATGGGTCCCTGGTGCCAAAAAGGTATTCGACCTTCTTTTTTTTTTTTTTTTGAGACGGAGTCCCGCTCTCTCGCCCAGGCTGGACTGCAGTGGCGCGATCTCGGCTCACTGCAAGCTCCACCTCCCGGGTTCACGCCATTCTCCTGCCTCAGCCTCCCGAGTAGCTGGGACTACAGGCGCCCGCCACCACGGCCGGCTAATTTTTTTGTATTTTTAGTAGAGACGGGGTTTCACCGTGTTAGCCAGGATGGTGTCGATCTCCTGACCTCGTGATCCGCCCATCTCGGCCTCCCAAAGTGCTGGGATTACAGGCGTGAGCGGCCGCGCCCGGACTCAACCTTCTAAAAACTGATTTGACTATATTTCATTAATGGTGATCCTACTAATCTCTCTCATTAATACCTCATCTCCTTCCTCAGAACAGTTTGGGAAGATGTTGGAGGAAAGATAATCTGGTGGATTTAAAAGGCAGAGGGACTGGATTAACTGGATTAAACTAGTTTTTTTTTTTTGTTTTTTGAGATGAGTCTTGCTCTGTCGCCCAGGCTGGAGTGCAGTGGCGCGATCTCGGCTCAAAGCAAGCTCTGCCCCCGGGGTTCACGCCATTCTCCTGCCTCAGCCTCCCGAGTAGCTGGGACGACAGGCGCCTGCCACCATGCCTGGCTAATTTTTTGTATTTTTAGTAGAGATGGGGTTTCACTGTGTTAGCCAGGACGGTCTCGATCTCCTGACCTCGTGATCCACCCCTCTCGGCCTCCCAAAGTGCTGGGATTACAGGTATGAGCCACCTCACCTGGCCTAAACTAGTTCTTTTAAGAGGACTATGAAAGACAGAAAAAACACAAGATTACACTAGAGTTTGGCAGCTATCAAAATAATCTTGTTTAGATTATTTCAAAATATCCTGTTTAGATTATTTTGATAATAATCAATCAAATGTAGGCAAGAGTGGGAATGAAAAAGGAGTGAATGAGAGTCTTGGTAATGATATGGAGAACCAGGGAAGGGAAAGGGGCAGAGATGACAGATTTTGATGCCAAAGATGAGGGGAATGAAAGCACTCCTCACATACATATAGGGGGAAATGTAAAAGAAGGGAATTTAGTGGGAGGAAAGGAAGCTGGGATTAGTTACAAATGTAGTTTAAGTTTCAAGAAAATAAGGAACAAGGCCAGAAGACAATGTGAGCCACAGAACTAAAGCTCAAGAGAGAACAAAGTAGACATACAGTTTCTCCAGCAGCTTCTTAAAGAAATTCTCTATTTTGGCTTCTATGCCACCTCCCAGTCCTCAATGGGAACCTTTTCCTCTCCTATTCCCTGTCCCCAAAGTTTCTGCCCTGGATTCCCTTCTCTATATGCTCTCCCCTGGAGATTACATCCACTTCGAGAATTAGCCAAGTGAGAGAATCCTTTATATCTACTTCTCAAGTTCCTGTCAAGTTTTTCCAGCTATTGAGCATTTTCATCTGGGTGCCTCATTGATGCATAAAACTTCTGCAGAGCAAGTATCAAAATCATCTTGTTTTAAAAATCAACCCTATAAACCCTACATCATGACTTCTCTGCTGCCATATATGGACTAATATTCTCCCAGTCACCCTAATTCAAAAGCTTCTTTGGCAACCCCTGCTATATTTTGGGAGCAATATCCATAGGTAAGGAAAAAAGATATCAGCAAAATAAAAAGGAACAATTAGAAACAGGCATTAACTAAGACATGTAAAGTAATGTAAGCCAGTGAGGAGTGTTTCAAGAAAGTGGCAGGATGGTGATAAAGTTTTAAAAATAGATATTAACAAATGTCCAAGAGCGTAAGAACCAAGGCAACAGTAAGAACTAATAACTGAGAGTGCTTTCTGTAAGCCAGGTACTGTGCTAAGCACTTAACAGATGCTATCTAAATTTAATCCTGATGACAACCCTATAGATGGGTACTATTATTTCATCCTCCCACCCCAAGAAAATATGTGAGAAAATTGATTCAAAGACATTACGCAATTTGCCTAAGTCACACAGCTAGTAAGTTGTAAAGTGGCAGAGTCAGAATTTGAATCCAGAAATGTCTGAAAGATTCCAGAGCTCATGTTCTTTATTTTTAAAATTCTACTTATATGCATATATATAATTTCACTTATATGGATAAATGAGATATAATGCATGCTGTGATTTTTCTAAACAATTTTTTAACCTTTTGCATCATGCCTCCACTCTACCTCTCCTCCTTACCATCCATATCTCTCCCAAACCCATGTTATTAACTTAGTATAGTCTTCCATATTCTTCTATAATTATACACAAATATATGTTAAGCATTTATGTATTTTTTCATGAATGAGTTGCCAGTGTTTGACAAATAGTAGCATATTATATATACTTCTATGCATTTTGCTTTCATACTTAATAACATATGGATATCCTGCCAAGTCAAAGAGTTTATATAAGTAATTCATTTTTAATGGTTCCATAATGTGGATATACCATAAGTTATATGACCATCTCCCTGGTGCCAAGCACTCAATTAGTTCCCAGTTTTTTCAGAACAATGCTGCAATAAGTACCCTTAAATACCTATGTTCTCACATACATTCATATCTACCAGTGCTTTTGTTTTTATAGGCCAGATTGCCAAGTGTGAAATTACTGGTTGAATTTTAATAGATGTTGCCAGATTATTCTCAAAAAAAGAATGTAATTCTTTTAGCGATGTAGAATGGTATCTTTCCCTCTGCAACCCTATCATCACTAAGTGATACCACACTTTGTAAGTCTTACAGTCTTTGGATATAAAATACCTTACTCTTTAATTTGCATTTCACTGACTACAAGTGTGTTTAAGCATTTTTTCATGTTTGTTAGCTTTTTAGACTATCTTTTCTGTAAATTGTCTCTTCATATCATTTGTCTAGGTTCCAAGTGAGTTATCTTTTTCTTATCAGTCTGTAAGAAAACTTTGTATAATGCAGATACTAACTCTTTTCTGGGTTTCCATATTTTACATATTGTTTCCCAGATGTCTATTTTAATTTTTATTAGTCTCTACTTCTAAACCTTTAATCCATTATATAAGGATCCAACTTTATTTTCTTTCAGATGGAAAGCTACTTGTGTTAATACCACTGTAATACAGAAACCATCTTTTCCCCCACTAAATTAACATATATTATTTTTCATGCATTAACTTTTCATACTTACTGAGAAAGAGCTTTTTAATCACAATGTTATACTGTCAGTGAGTCTGACAATGGGGGGGGGGGGTCCATGGTTTATTTTTAATTATATTGTAGGGATAGGAATCAAACTGATAAACCTCAGCAGTCAATATAACCTAAATCTCAAGTATGGCCACTGAAAGTTACCTGTTCTACTTAATTTTTGTTTTTTCTTAGATTTACCTAATTTGTCATCTATGTAAAATCTTCAGTATTCTTCAAGGGAAATGAAGGAAAGGAGAAAGAACTTTTTGATTTTTTATTTATTTTTATTATTATTTTTGAGATAGGATCTCACTTTGTCACCCAGGCTGGAATACAGGGGCACAATCTTCGCTCACTGCAGCCTCAACCTTCTGGGCTCAAGTGATCCTCCAGCCTCCGCCCCACAAGTAGCTGAGACTATAGGCACACACCACCATGCCTGGCTAACTTTTTGTATTTTTGGTAGAGAAGGGGTTTCACCATGTTGCCTAGGCTGGAAGAAATAGCTTTTTAAATCTGAAACTATATGACAACTTTAAAAGTTTTAGTGAAGTAAATATAAATTTTTCATTTCATCTTCATTCCTGGTTCCTTTTCTCTAATTTCAAAATTCCTACTTTACCTGTCAGTGAGATACTACAGACAATTTTCAATTTGCCAAGGCCTAAATTCTCTTCTCCATTTCCTTCCCCATTTCCCTTTTATTAGGGCCTGTAACAAGGAATTACCTGAGACAAAAAGAGAAAAAAATTATGTATGTTCATGCTTCATCTGCTAATTACAGAGATAACTCTGCAGAGGTTTAAAATCTTGAGTAACATTAGTTCATATATACAAATAACCTAAAACTGTTACTAGTTTTTCCAAGAAATTCCATGTATATTGAAAGTAGCTCTCCTTGAAGGATGAAATGTTTTAAAAAGTAAGAACCAAAAATAATTACAAAATAGAAAAAATACTAATTAAAATTAAAAACTTGCTGGATGGGCTCAATAGTGGAGTGGAATTGACAGAGAACAGGATCAGTGAACTTGAAAACAGATCAACAGAATTTACTTAGTCTGAACACAGAAAAACAGACAAAGAAACAAGAAAGGCATCAGGGACTTGTAGGACAATAACAAATGACCTAACATTCATCCAATCAGAGTTTTAGAGGAAGAGAAGAAAGTATGGCGCTGAAAAAAATAAAGATATAATAGCTGAAAACTTCACAATTTGACAAAAGACATAAATCTACAGAGTCAAGAAGCTGAGAAAAACCCTAAGTGGGAAAAAATAAAAATAAAAGATACATCATAAGTCAAGTTTAGAAAATTAAAAACAAAGAAAAAAATCTCAAAAGCAGCCAAAGAGAAATGGCACATTACCTTTAAGGGGAACAATAATTTGAATGCCATCAGATTTCTCATCAGAAATCATGGAAGCCAGAAAGAAATGGCACATTTTTCAAATGTTAAAGAAAAAGAACTGTCAAGGCCAAATTCCATATAGGACAAAACCACCCTTCAGGAACAAAGGGGAACAACATTCTCAGATGACGGAAACTAATTTGTCACTAACAGACATATCTTTAGGAGGTTCTCCTAAAAAAAAGTTCCTCAAACAAAAAGGAAATGATGTATCAATAAGGTTTAATTTGAGTAAAGGAAGAACACTGGAACGGGTAATAGTCATGGTAAATATAAAATGAACTATTCTTCATCTTATGAGTTTCTTAAATCATATTTGATAGTTGAAGTAAACGTTATAACAACATTTGATGTGGTGTTCAAGGTGTATAGAGAAAATACAAATATTAAATTTTAAAAAGGGAAAAGGAGAAAGGACCTACATGGAAGAAAGGTCTCTAAACTTCAATTGGCAAAAGGCAATAAAAGTATCCCTTGTGATAAGTTGTTACATCTATTGTTATACCCAAAGCACACTAAAAAAGGTTAACTAAGCCAGATACTCAAAAACACTATAAACATGTCAAATAGAATTCTGAAAATATTCAAGCAACCTACAGAAAGACCAGAAAAGAGGAACAGATATGAAAAACAGGAAATAAACAGAAAACAAATAATAAAATGGCTGGCTTAAGCCCTAACACAGCAATTACTTTTAAGTGTAAATGATATAACTATACTAGTTAAAAGACAGAGATTGGCAGAGAAGTTTCTTTTTTAAAAGACCCAAGCATATAGCGTCTATAAGAAATTCACTAAAACATAATGACATTGGTAGGTTGAAAACAGAAGTATGGAAAAGATATGCCATACTAACTACTTTTTTTAAGTAGTGATGGCTACACTGCCATCAGTTAAGTAGACTTCAGAGCAAAGAAAATTATTGTACAAAGATACAAGGATTAATTCATCAAGAAAACATCTTAAATGTATATGCACCAAACAACAGATATTTAACATGAAGCCAAAACCAACAGAGCTCAAAGGAAAAACAGAGACATCCATAATTATAGTTGGGATCTTCAGCAACGAAAATAACTATTAGACGATCAAGAAGACACAGAAGAACAGAACACCACCATCAATGAACAGGACATAACTGACATGTATAGAACACTGCAACCAATAATAACAGAATACACATTCTTTTCAAGCATACATGGAACATCCACCAAGATACACCATACCCTCAGTCATAAAAGAAACTTAAAAATTAAAAATTATACAGCTTATGTTTTCTGATCATTGTGGAAAAAAACTAGAAATCAACAACAGAAAAACAACAGGTAAATCACCAAACACTTGGAAACTAAATGACACACTCCCAAATATTTTCATGGGTCAAGCAAATTTCTAAGGAAAAATTTAAACTATATAGAACTGGATAGAAATGAAAATACAAGACAGCAAAATTTGTGAGATGCAACAAAAGCAATGCCAAGAGGGAAATTATAGCAATAAATGCTTACGTTAGAAACAAAGAAAGACCTTAAACTAATAATCACAGCACTAGACAAGAAGCAAAATAAACCTAAAGTGAGAAGGAAGAAAATAATAAATATAAGAGCAGAAATCAATGACATTAAAAATATAAAAATAGACAAAGATGAAATAAAGAGCGAGTTCTTTGAAAAAGGTCACTATAACCAGCAAATCATCACTGAAAAAGATAAAATGACACAAATTACTAATACAGTAGCAATAATGAAACAAGGGTTATCACTAAAAACCATGTAGAATACTATTACCCTACCAAAGCCTGACAAAGGCAGTACAAAACAAACAAGCAAAAAACTACAACACATCTCTCATACCTATACCTTAACCTCTCACACCTCTCTACCTATACCTTAACAAAATATTAGCAAATAGAATATGGAAATATATAATTATATACTTTAACCAAGTGAGATTTATACCAGTTGTGTTCAACATTTTAAAATCAATGTAACTCACCATATCAACAAGCTAAAGAAGTATTAATTCACTAAACATACACTTACCATATGACTTAGCAATTGTACTCTTGGGCATTTATCCCAGAGGGGGAAAAATGTATGTTCACTCAAAAATCTTCAGACAAAAGTTCATAGAAGCTCTATTTATAATAGTGTAACCCAAATGTTCTTCAATGAATGAATGGTTAAACAAACTGTAGCATAGCCATCCCATGGAATACTACTCAGCAATAAATAAAGAAATGCATGACAGATACACACAATTTGGATGGATCTCAAAAAGTTACATACGGTATGAGTCCATCTACACAATATCCTTGAAATGACAAAATTATAGAGATAGAGCAGTGGTTGCCACGGGTTAGGGATAGGGCTGGGACAAGATAGACTGACTATAAGGAGGCAGCATAAGGGAGCCTTGTGGTGATGGAATAATTCTTTATCTTGATTACGGTAGTTATAAGAAGCTACACATAGACCTGTGTACACACACAAATGAGTCCTTATAAAGTTGGTGAAATGGAAATATACTCTGTGAATTGTATCAATGTCAATTTCCCAGTTTTAATATCGTACCACAGTTATCCAAGTTGTTACCATTGAGGCAGGCAGTCTGAAGGGTACACAAGGACTTCCCTGTAAAGTTTTTTGCAACTTCCTCTGAATATGCAATTCTCTCAAAACAAAAAGGTTTTTAAAAAAGTTATTAATAATTATATATGTATTTAATTGCAACTGGTATAATAAGTGGTATGAAAGGGGAAAATTGGGAATCTTAGCACATAGCCCTATATAAACTTGAAAACATACAGGTGAAAGTCAACACATAAACAGATGATGCATAAACAGAATTCTTTTTACGCTTCTGCTGTAACTATGGGTATCCATCTCATCTTTCTCCAGAATAACATGTAAGAACAAGTAATTGTTTTCTATATCCTAACTTGATCACCATCTAGCCCCTTGCAATAAAACTACTGCTTTTTTTTTTTGCTTCTTTTTATTTGCAAATTATATTCTCTTCCTTTCTCATCAGACCTAAAAAGCAGGCAATTAATAGAACAAGAAATTGAAGGTCAAAGATGTTTACATTTTTTGTTCAAGGACATAAGCATTTAAATGGCAAAATAAATTCTACAGTCTTCTGATACCTATTCCAATATTTCCCAGTCACATATTACTTTGAAATATTATATAACACTAAAGAATCCAAAAAACAAACTGCAAAATACTGTAGGAGAAAGTCCAAGTGGTAATGAGTGTATGTTACACCAAGATTCTGTGTAGTTGTCTTTGCTCCTGCTTGATGTGGTTGCGAGATGAGCAATTTCACAATTCTTCTTTTAATGACTTTTACATTTTCACCTACTTTTGCTGTATTTGCTGTCTGAATGACTGCACACTAACCCCAGTGAGATTTTTCTTAAATCTGTGCAAGTGGGCCAGAAAATAAAGCTTAAATGATGAAGATAAAATCTATGACTACTGCTGAGGACATATTAAAAACGAAACCACACACTACACTCAAGATGAACTTGCTGAATTATCTTTACTGGAAAAAGGCAATTTGTTTTGCACAACTCCTTTGCAACTGTGACATCAAACTTTCTTGTAATTACACACACAATTTTTTTTTAATGTACCAGAGAGTAGCTTTCAGCTTCTGGACATCAATTAATGCCAAGAATTTCACAAGTGTACAAACTACTTACCTATATTAAATACACTCATTAGAAATAATATATTAATTTCCCTTTGGTTGAGGTATACTTAAAGTGACTTCAGAATTAAGTGCTCAATCTTAAATACATTATGGTAATACTACAAGGGAGAAAATGCTGAAAGCAGAGCAACATTTTAACAAAGAAAAAAGTCCTCGCAAATCAATAAACGTAATCCAGCATATAAACAGAACCAAAGACAAAAACCACATGATTATCTCAATAGATGCAGAAAAGGCCTTTGACAAGATTCAACAGCTCTTCATGCTAAAAACTCTCAATAGATATTGATGGGACGTATCCCAAAATAATAAGAGCTATTTATGACAAACCCACAGCCAATATCATACTGAATGGGCAAAAACTGGAAGCATTCCCTTTGAAAACTGGCACAAGACAGGGATGCCCTCTCTCACCACTCCTATTCAACATAGTGTTGGAAGTTCTGGCCAGGGCAATTAGGCAGCAGAAAGAAATAAAGGGTATTCAATTAGGAAAAGAGGAAGTCAAATTGTCCCTGTTTGCAGATGACATGATTGTATATTCAGAAAACCCCATCGTCTCAGCCCAAAATCTCCTTAAGCTGATAAGCAACTTCAGCAAAGTCTCAAGATACAAAATCAATGTGCAAAAATCACAAGCATTCTTATACACCAATAACAGACAAACAGAGAGCCAAATCATGAGTGAACTCCCATTCACAATTGCTTCAAAGAGAACAAAATACCTAGGAATCCAACTTACAAGGGATGTGAAGGACCTCTTCAAGGAGAACTACAAACCACTGCTCAATGAAATAAAAGAGGACACAAACAAATGGAAGAACATTCCATGCTCATGGATAGGAAGAATCAATATTGTGAAAATGGCCATACTGCCCAAGGTAATTTATAGATTCAATGCCATCCCCATCAAGCTACCAATGACTTTCTTCATGGAATTGGAAAAAACTACTTTAAAGTTCATATGGAACCAAAAAAGAGCCTGCATTGCCAAGTCAGTCCTAAGCAAAAAGAACAAAGCTGGAGGCATCACGCTACCTGACTTCAAACTATACTACAAGGCTACAGTAACCAAAACAGCATGGTACTGGTACCAAAACAGAGATATAGATCAATGGAACAGAACAGAGCCCTCAGAAATAATACCACACATCTACAACTATCTGATCTTTGACAAACCTGACAAAAACAAGAAATGGGGAAAGGATTCCCTACTTAACAAATGGTGCTGGGAAAACTGGCTAGCCATATGTAGAAAGCTGAAACTGGATCCCTTCCTTACACCTTATACAAAAATTAATTCAAGATGGATTAAAGACTTAAATGTTAGACCTAAAACCATAAAAACCCTAGAAGAAAACCTAGGCAATACCATTCAGGACATAGGCATGGGCAAGGACTTCATGTCTAAAACACCAAAAGCAATGGCAACAAAAGCCAAAATTGACAAATGGGATCTAATTTAACTAAAGAGCTTCTGCACAGCAAAAGAAACTACCATCAGAGTGAACAGGCAACCTACAGAATGGGAGAAAATTTTTGCAACCTACTCATCTGACAAAGGGCTAATATCCAGAATCTACAAAGAACTCAAACAAATTTACAAGAAAAAAACAAACAACCCCATCAAAAAGTGGGTGAAGGATATGAACAGACACTTCTCAAAAGAAGACATTTATGCAGACAAAAAACACATGAAAAAATGCTCATCATCACTGGCCATCAGAGAAATGCAAATCAAAACTACAATGAGACATCTTCTCACAGCAGTTAGAATGGTGATCATTAAAAAGTCAGGAAACAACAGGTGCTGGAGAAGATGTGGAGAAACAGGAACACTTTTACACTGTTGGTGGGACTGTAAACTAGCTCAACCATTGTGGAAGTCAGTGTGGCGATTCCTCAGGGATCTAGAACTAGAAATACCATTTGACCCAGCCATCCCATTACTGGGTATATACCCAAAGGAATATAAATCATGCTGCTATAAAGACACATGCACATGTATGTTTATTGCAGCACTACTTACAATAGCAAAGACTTGGAACCAACCCAAACGTCCAACAATGATAGACTGGATTAAGAAAATGTGGCACATATACACCATGGGATACTATGCAGCCATAAAAAAGAATGAGTTCATGTCCTTTGTAGGGACATGGATGAAGCTGGAAACCATCATTCTCAGCAAACTATCGCAAGGACAAAAAACCAAACACCACATGTTCTCACTCATAGGTGGGAATTGAACAATGAGAACACTTGGACACAGGAAGGGGGAGATCACACACCGGGGCCTGTTGTGGGGTGGGGTGAGTGGGGAGGGATAGCATTAGGAGATATACCTAATGTAAATGACAAGTTAATGGGTGCAGCACACCAACATGGCACATGTATACATATGTAACAAACCTGCACGTTGTGCATATGTACCCTAGAACTTAAAGTATAATTTTAAAAAAATTAAAAAAAAGAAAGAAAAAATCCTCCAGTCTGAAGGCATTAAGTTATCAAAAAGCAAAATATTAAAATATAAAATTTTAGATGGGCACCCACTGTGTTGCCCTGATTATCCCCCTAGAATGCTACATGCTGGAAAGAGGGGCCTTAGCAGGTTTCTAAGTCTTTAACCTTCAGGTGGAAAAATGGGGAAACACACAAGAGACACTCCTACGTATAGTTTCAGAAAGAAGTTTAATTAAAAAACAGCTTTTGAGAATAAACATTCTGGAGATGCTTCTAAATCTTCTGGGTTTCTTTTGGTTGTATCTCTTTCTCCATACAGATTTGTTCTTTCAACTCAAGGACTATCAACTCTTTTTTTTTTTTTGAGACTGAGTCTCACTTTGTCGCCCAGGCTAGAGTGCAGTGGCGCCATCTCGGCTCACTGCAAGCTCCACCTCCCGGGTTCACGCCATTCTCCTGCTTCAGTCTCCCGAGTAGCTGGGACTACAGGCGCCCGCCACCACGCCCGGCTAATTTATTTATTTATGTATTTATTTTTGTATTTTTAGTAAAGATGGGGTTTCACCGTGTTAGCCAGGATGGTCTCGATCTCCTGACCTCCTGATCCGCCCGCCTCGGGGTCCCAAAGTGCTGGGATTACAGGCGTGAGCCACGGCGCCCGGCCAGGACTATCAACTCTTGTGTTTGGTACACAGGACACAAAGCAGGTGTCCGGTAACTACTTGCGAGGGAAGATACGAATTAACCAAGGAATAAAGTGTTCCAATCTGCATTCTGTCTTGCGTGGGGAACAAAACCAAACTAAGACCCAAGGATGAGGGTTTACGGTTAAGGTCTTCAGCGTGAATAAAAGGCGGCGTGAGCACTAAACGCCGGGGGCAAAGAACACTCCCGGCCCAGAGTTTGACCCCTCCTAGCGAGTTCTTCCCGGCCAGCTGCCCAACTTTTTGGCCTCTACTCCTCCGCGGGGGCACCATAAGACTCCCTACAGGTGGGCTACACTTAGGGGTTCAAATGCTGCATTACCGCGCTCGGGTGAGCGACTGCCCGGCCTGCAACTCAAGGGACTCCCAGGCCAAGTGGCTCCGAACTCGCGAGCTGTCGGAACAGTATTATTTTTGCTGCTACGGGCCATCTGGCCCAGGGCAACAGGGGCTCTGCGAGGAACCATAGAGAAGAAGGGGCGCCAGATCCCGCGTGCCTGCCCACCCGTCCTTCCTTTGGGCAGTCACCCTGAGCTCGGCAAGCTGTACCTCACCTGTCCACCTGGAAGGCTGCCCGCTCTCCCTGAGGGTCCTGGGAAGGCGGCACGAGACCGGAAGTGCCCCCCTCAGGTGACGTCACAGTACCGCGCCGGAGCTGATCCGGGAAGCCGATGTCAGCCTGGCGCGCGGCGCACAGCTGGCTGGGAGATTTCTTACTGGCTTGGAGCCGGTGGTCCAGATCAGAGAGACCTCTTGGAGGGTGTCGGGGTTTTCCTTTCTTTTTCATTTGAATTTTATCCGCCTTTTATTTTCTGTCATCCTTGATGTGCTTCTGGCTTCTGGCTTCCCTTTCCTTCTCTCTCATTTGTTCCATGTCTGCCCCTCTTTTCTCCCTCTTCCCATTTCCCTCTTTCTGCGTTACTAGTTGCATATCTTCCCCACATACACAGGAAAGTTGATTCTCATTTGATCATGTTCATAAGCATGATCAATAAAGTATTTTTTTAATTAAGGTGTTGCCAACTTTAAGAAAATTCAGAGAATAATATTAAGTATAGAGTTTATTTGGGCTCAGTGCTTGAGAATGGCCACTCAGGAGCTTAGATTCAAGTTGCCTTGAATATACACTCCAATTAGCAGCAGTCGGAGTAGGTTTTTTTTTTTTTTTTTTTTTTTTTTTGAGACGGAGTCTTGCTCTGTCGCCCAGGCCGGACTGCGGACCGCAGTGGCGCAATCTCGGCTCACTGAAAGCTCCGCTTCCCGGGTTCACGCCATTCTCCTGCCTCAGCCTCCCGAGTAGCTGGGACTACAGGCGCCCGCCACCGCGCCCGGCTAATTTTTTGTATTTTTAGTAGAGACGGGGTTTCACCTTGTTAGCCAGGATGGTCTCGATCTCCTGACCTCATGATCCACCCGCCTCGGCCTCCCAAAGTGCTGGGATTACAGGCGTGAGCCGGTTTTTAAGGAAAGGAGAGGAGGCAGAGCTTAACTTGTTTACCAAGAATTTATATTTAAAAAACTTAAGCTATTGACTGGCTATGCTTTCTTCCTTGTATCACAAATTCCAGGAACATAAAGATAATGGGTGAGGCAGCTAATAAAGAACAAAATGCCTTTAACAATTGCCCTAAGGCATGGGAAGGCGTGGCGGAAGCCAGTATTCACTTCTGTCCGGGTCTAATAAATTTTGCATACCTCACATAGCTCAGACAGCTCTGGGCTATTTTTCTTTTCTTAGTATGTACTTTTTTTAGACATAATACTGTTGTACACAATAATCTACAGTACAGTGTAAATATAAATTTTATATGCACTGGGAAACCAAAAAAATTCTGTGAACTGCCTTATTGTGATGTTTGCTTTATTGTGGTAGTATGGAACTGAACCCCCAATATCTTCAAAGTATGCTTGGATTTAAAAAAGAGGTTTACTTAGCTCATGGTTCTGCACATTGGAAAGCTCAAGGGGCATAGTGTGAGCATCTGCTCAGTTCTGGTTAGAGTTTTTTGTGCAGTGTCACAACATGGTAGAAGGTCAAAGGGGAAGCTGATACATGTGAAAACAGACCAAACAGGAGGTGGAAAACAACCCACTCTCTCAGGGACTCTCTCTTTTCCAATCTCTCAAGAGCTGTTATCAAACCAAACTGGAGTCCAATTGCCTGTGCAGCAAGACCAAACACTGACATCAGGATTATAGTGAAAGAAAGTGAGGCATTTATTGTAGGGTCCCAAGCAAGGAGAACTGGTCAGTTAGTGCTTAAGTCTTGAACTCCCTAATTGTTTATAGGTAAGGGTTTTTAAATGCAGGGGTGTCAGAGGTTATAGGCAAAGTCATAAATCAATATATGGAGGTTATATATTGGCTTAACCTAAAAATGCAGTGAGGTAGGATGCAGGAATTGGACACCAGACCAAATTGAGGACTAGCTAAAACAGGGGCAGGGAGGAAGCAGCTTTCCATATTAATGCCCCTTTCCATGGCAACAACCTGACAACCCAGAGGTTACCACCCTTTTCCTAGAAATTTCTGCATAATTCACCCCTTAATTTGCCTGTAATTAAAAATGATTATAAATATGACAGAAGAACTGCCTTTCAGATGCTACTCTGGACACACTGCCTATGGGGTAGCCCTGCTCTGCAAGGAGCAGTATCTCTGCTGCTTCTGGACACTACTACTTCAGTAAAAGTTGCTATTTAACACCACCGGCTCACCCTTGAATTCTTTCTTGGCGAAGCTAAGAACTCTACTGGGCAAATCCCCAATTTGGGGCTTGCCTGCCGTGCATTGGCGGGGCATCTCAAAGAGGGGGGCCCACAGGTCATAGGTGGAATTTAAGGATTTTCTGATTTGTGATTTGTTAAGAAGGTGAAACTCTCTAAAAATTTGATATCAGCAGAAAAGGATATTAGCTTGGGCTCATGGGCATGGCCTCCTTTAAGCACCTCAAGAAGAAATTTAGAACAAAGAATAGTAGTCAGAGTTTAGCCTTCAATTCTCCCTTATTTGAGGCCTGTGTGCCAGTGGATCCATTTAGTGGGGATCTGGGTTTCTGAAAAACAACTTGGGACATATGTTAAGATGTTACCTTTAGTTTTTATAGGAAATACAATATCCCGTGACATTAATTTTTTGGCTATTGTTTTAAGCTCTTATTATCTTCTTGCTTTTAAGTTTGTTTTGTTTTTGTTTTTGTTTTTAGGACTAGCTAGATGTCTGGAATTTTCTTTAAGGAAGTCAAGATTTTTTTTTATTTTCATCTTTTGGTGGAGAGTGCCCTGCAAGCCCTTAAGAGGGGTCTCTGCTGTGTCTCAGAACAAGAACTGACTTTGGCGAGAACAGCAACAATCTCTTCATGAGGGATCCACCCCATGACCCCAACACCTCCCCATAGGCCCCACTTCTGAACATCACCACACTGGGGACCAAATTTCAGCATGAGTCTTTTTGGGGACAAACTATATCCAAACCATAGCAACACATATTGTGATAAGAAATAAACCTTTGTTGCTTAAGGCTTTGGAGGTTGTTGCTGTTGTTTCTTACCACAGTGCCACACAGCCTGTCCAGATTGATGCAGAGGGACAGCCACACAGAGATTCTTTTTTCTCCCTCTTTCGATTTTAATTCCTAATACCCGGGGAAGAATTTCTGATTGGCTCAGCTCAGGTCTTGTCCTAGTCCATTTTCTGTTGCTTATAGTAGAATACCAGAAACTGGCTAATTTGTAAAGAAAAAATTATTTCTTACAGTTATGGAGGCTGAGAAGTCCCAGGTCGAGGGGCTATACCTGGTGAAAGACTCTCTGAAGAGTCTTAAGGCAGCACAGGGCCTCACTTGTCCAGGAGGCTGAGTGTGCTAGCTCAGGTTTCTCTTTCTTTTCTTGGAAAGCCACCAGTTCCCCTCACATGATACCCCTTAATCTAATTCATTAACCTATTGATCCATTAATCTATGAAGGAATTAATCTATCCATGAGGGCCGAGCCCTCCTGATTCAATCACCCCATAAAGGTCCCATCTTTTAATACTCCCCTTTGGGGATTAAATTTTAACATGAGCTCATAAATATATACACTTACTATGTACCCACAAAAATAAAAAACAAAACACATTATTTAAAATGAAATAAATTTCAACATGAATGCTATGGTTTGGATATGGTTTGTTTTGGCCCCCACCAAGTCTCAGATTGAAATGTGGTCCCCAGTATTGGAGATGGGGCCTGGTGGGTAGTGTCTGGGTTGTGGGTTGTGGGTATGGATCCCTCATAATGGCTTGGTGCCATGCTCGCAAGAGTGAATGAGTTCTTGCTCTGTTGCTTCCAATGAGAGCTGGTTGCTAAAAGAGCTGGCACCCCCTCCCTTCTCTCTCTTGCTTTCTATTGCTGTGCAGTTTCTACATACCAGTTCTCCTTCATTTTCCACCATAAATAGAAGCAGCCTGAGGTCTTCACCAGAGGCAGATGCCAGCACCGTGCTTCTGGTACAGCCTACAGAGGTATGAGCCAAACAAACCTCTTTTCTTTATAAATTACATAACCTCAGGTATTCCTATAAAGCAACACAAACAGACTACAACAATGAGTTTTGGAGGGGACAAATATTCAAACCCAGTACCAATTTTCTGTCTTAGCCCATTTACTGTTGCTTATAACAGAATACCTAAAACTGGGTAATTTATACATTTTATTTTATTTAATTTCATTTTCATTTTTCACTGTAACCTTGAACTTCTGGGCTCAAGCTATCTTCCTGCCTCAGCCTCCTGAAGAGCTGGGACTACAGGCATGTGCCATTATGCCCGGCTAATTTATATATATATATTTTTAATATCAGTCTACCACTGTAGACTGATATAAATTTTATACACACACACACACACACACACACACACACACACACACATATTTAGAGATAAGGTCTTGCCATGTTGCCTAGGTGTGAGCCACTCTGTCCAGCCTGAAACTGGGTAATTTATTTTAAAAACAAATTTATTAGGCCAGGCATGGTGGCTCACGCCTGTAATCCCAGCACTTTGGGAAGCCAAGACGGGCGGGTCACTAGGTCAGGAGATTGAGAACATCCTGGCTAACACGTTGAAACCCTGTCTCTACTAAAAATACAGAAACAAAATAAACCAGGCGTGGTGGCGGGCGCCTGTAGTCCCAGCTACTCAGGAGGCAGGAGAATGGCGTGAACCCTGGAGGCGGAGCTTGCAGTTAGCCGAGATGGCGCCACTGCACTCCAGCCTGGGTGACAGAGTGAGACTCCATCTCAAAAATAAATAAATAAATAAATAAATAAATAATAAAACTAATTTATTTATTACAGTTCCAGAGGCTGAGAAGGCCAAGGTCAAGAGGCTGAAGCTGGTGAGAGCCTTCTCGCCAGTTCCACTCCTGTGATAACCCGTTAATCTATTAGCCCATTAATCTCTTAGTCCATGAATGGATTAATCCATTCATAACAGCAGATCCCTCATGATCCAGTCACCAACATAGCAGGTCTGGTGTCCAGCAATCATTCAATTGTCAATGACAAGTGCTTGTGGTCATATTGACTTTTTGCCATAAGTAAGAGGATCATAGTGAATGGGGCAGACATTCCACGAAGATGTCTACTATAATCACAAATGGCCATAAAGTCAGACCACTGTAGACTGACTTAAAAACAGTAAATGAAAAGCTATCGTCTTTTGCATAAAAATTTTAGACTCCCGTTACTCATCCATTTTTTATTGACTATCTGTCACATTCCAAACACTCTTCCAGGCTAGGAATACAAAGGCAACTCAAAGAGAAATGTGATTGTTCTCACAGACACAATAAACAAACTAAAGAAATTAATATATAATGACAGTGCAAGGGGAATTAAAAGGCAAGGTTAGAAACAGAGAGCAAGGAGTGCATTGGTTACTATTTATCCAGTTGCACCAAAATATATCAGCTTAAAACATAAAACATTTATTATCTTACACAGTTTCAAAGGGTCAGGACACCAGTAGCAGCCTAGCTGAGAGGTTCTAGCCAAGTCTTTCATGAGGTTCCTGTTAAGCCAGTTGCTCAGGGTTACAGCATCTCAAGCCTTGACTGGGGCTGAAGAAGCAAGACTAGATTATTTGGTTGTTGGCAGGTCAGACTTCCTCAATGGCTGTAGGCCACAGTTCTTCACCATGAGGACCTCTCCACAGTGCTGTTTGAAATATGGCAGCTTTCTTCCATCAGAGGAAGAGACAGAGAATACAGAGACAGTACCTAAGACAAAAGCCACAGTCTTTTATAACCTAATCTCAGAATTGGCTTGCTGCATCATTCCCTCAGTGAAATGAATCACTTATCACTTCTACATGCTATTTAATGTGGGAAGATATGTGAATTCTGAAAGGCTGGGGCTACTGGGGACCATTGTGGAGATGCACTGCCACAATGGTGCATTACTTTATATCATGCAGGCAGGAAAAATCCTGTCTTAGGTAATTTTGAGAAGAGAGCTGCATGAAACTAGGAAATAAATGTTGGATAAGGAGAGTGGGAGAATCCTTATATACTCTACTCTCACACGCCTCTTGTTTTCATTCTGAACTCATGGCTCATATTTTCTAAATTATCATAAGATAATCATACGGTCCCTTGATACTCTCTCTGTAGTACTATTTTGAATTATTATTTAATACCTACATGGAATTTTAAAGCATTTTATTCATTTATTTATTTTTATTTTTTATTTTTTGAGGCAGGGTCTCACTCCTGTTTCCCAGGCTGGAGTGCAGTAGCATGATCACAGCTGACTGCAGCTTTGACTTCCTGGGCTCAAGTGATCCTCCCACCTCAACCACTGGAGTAGCTGGGACTACAGGCACATGCCACTACACCCAGATAATTTGTTCTATTCTTAGTATAGATAGGGTTTTTCCCTGTGGCCCAGGTTGGTCTCGAAATCCTGGGCTCAACTGATCCTCCCACCTCAACCACTGGAGTAGCTGGGACTACAGGCACATGCTACTACACCCAGATAATTTGTTCTATTCTTAGTATAGATAGGGTTTTTCCCTGTGGCCCAGGTTGGTCTCGAACTCCTGGGCTCAACTTGTCCGCCCCCTCAGCCTCCCAAAGTGTTGGGATTACAGGCGTGAGCCACCACACCTGGCTGGAATTTTTAAGCATTTTAAATTTTTCTCTAAAACTGTAAATTTTAGGGAATTCTGCTACTTTTAGGGGTAAAAACCATGCAGTTAAATTAGTTGCTCTAATTCATTATTGATTTGTATTCAACTCAAAATACTGGTTTATTATTATTATTGTTATTCCTAATACTAAATAAATCTGTTGAAATCTAACATAGATCTTAGTGTAAGGCACTGATAGGGTTTGGCTCTGACTTCCCACTCAAATCTCATTTTGAATTCTAATCTCCACCTGTCGAGGGAGGGATGTGGTGGGAGGTGATTTGATCATGGGGGTGGCTTCCCCCATGCTCTTCTCCTGATAGTGAGTGAGTTCTTACAAGATCTGATGCTTTTAAAGTGTTTGGCAGTTTACCCTGTCCTCTCTCTCTCTCTCTCTCTCTCTCTCACCTGCCATGTAAGATGTGCCTTGCTTCCTCTTCACCCTCCACCATGATTGTAAGTTTCCTGAGGCCTCCCCAGCCATGTGAAACTGTGAGTCAATTAAACCTCTTTCCTTCATAAATTATTCAGTCTCTGGTAGTATTTTTATAGCAGTGTGAAAATGGACTAATACAGGCACATAGAGAAATGTGAAATCCTGTATGGTGTATTTGGTTGGATAGCAAAGCTGAGCGTAGTTCCAGCTAAGAAATGGAATAGAAAGTGACATTTTAGCTGATAGTATGGCATTGGAATAAACAAAACTGAAGCAATGGGTGACATGGGGACCTTTTTTTTTCTCTTGTCTAGTTATCTATTCCCACCCCACCTCTCCTTTTTTTTGAGACAATGTCTCTTTCTGTCATCCAGGCTGGAGTGCTGTGGCATAATCATGGCTCACTGCAGCCTCCAATTCTTGGGCTCAAGGAATCCTCCCACCTCAGCCTTCTGCATAGCTAGGACTACAGGTGCAAGCAACCAAGCCTGGATAATTTTTTTTTTCTCTTAGAGATAAGGTCTCACTATATTTCCCAGGCTGATCTCAAACTCTTGGGCTCAAGCAATCCTCCTGTCTTGACCTTACAGGTGTGAGCCACTGCACCTGGCCCTCTTATTCTTTTCTAATAATACTTATTCTTTCTCCTAGGAAGCTCATGTGTTTAGGGCGAAGCTCTAGGACGACCCTTGATTGGCTTAATCTGTCATCATATTCCCCTTCCCTGGCCTTAGTCACTAGTTCCTGGCTTGATCTGTAACCTAAGCCCATTCTGTCAGGGTGAAGCGTGGGATGCCAGGCAAGTTGTGTTCTTTGTCTTTCCAGATAATGTGCTATATGAATATGATGCCTAAAATTGCTGCAGACGTTTGGTCTCCATGATGCAAAGTTGAAATAGGGAGAAGTAAGACATGGAGAGAATCACAGAGAAATGGAGGCGGGGTTCTGATCATCATGCATGAAGTCTGCTACTCTTTGGACATTCCAGTTGTGTGAGCCAAGAAAGCCCTATTTTTAAGTCAGTTTCAGGTGTGTTGTGTTATTTCCAGCAGAGAGCCTCCTGATACATCCTTACCTACTCCAGGGGTATCTGAGGACTCATCATAAAAGCCATGAAGGGCTGACTGCCTGCTTCATTTGGTTTAGCAGTGGCCACAAAAAGATGCAATGAAGGGTTTCCTGATTATTTAACTTCATAATTGGGTGATAGGAAATAAGTTATGGAAAGGAAGCTCCAGAATGTAAATTGAGACTTGTAAAATAGGCTAATTATGAAATGTTAAGGAATCTGTAAATGATCAGAAGGAGATACTTTTGTCAAATAACAATATCTGCTTCATGTCAAGTTCTGTGACTTGACAGAGAAATGTCAAAATGGTTTACATGGGTCTAGAAGGGGCAAAGAAGTTTGAGGGCAAGTTGAGGATGATGGTCTCAGGCATAAATGGCCCCTCTTTGCCCAATCCATATAGACTCATGTCTGAGTCCTATGGAGAGAAAACTCTAGCAGCAAGAAGAAATAAATAATTTTTCCACAAAGTCCAGGAGAGATTTTGGGATCCCAAGGCAATCCTCTGTGACAAGAACCACTGTGACAGGTTTTGGTACCAAGGAATACAGCAGAAGGGAGAAAGCTGCCTCTTATAGAACAGAGAAATCCAGTAAAGTGTCCCACAAACATGACATGATTTCAGAGGTATATCAACCACCAACTACGTGCAGCACTTACAGGGAGTTACAGTGGAGATAGTACAGAACCTTTTGGCATTTCATGGCCAACTTCACTGAGAAGAAAGAGAGGAAAAATGCTGCATTCCTCATATTTCTGAGATCAACTATGCAGAGACCCTTGAAGGAAACTCCTAGGAAATGCCACAATTGCTGGAGAACATTTAGTGGGGGTGAGGGATTAGTTGGGGACACTTCATAGCAAGGCTGTTGATGTCACAATGACAGCAAGCCAGAGAAATGGGTAATACTCAGATCTTCATGGTAGAAGAGAATAATCTGGTGGATATTAGAATGCTAGAAGGACCTGTGCTCATTAATCAAAAATGTTCCCCTCTACCTTATTATTCCATTCCACAAAAAGTGGAAACTCCTGGTTTAGACATCTGTTGAATTAATATGTGTGGTTGATGATTATATAAAAGGCAACAAGAGGAAGAAAAAGGAAAGAGAACAAAGGGATGAGAGAAAAAAAAGATATTTTTTCAAAGTTTAGAAGACAAAGATTTCTCTTCAATGTGTACTCTAGAGATCAGACCACGAGTCATAAATGTTAGTGAATTTTGAATTATGTTTTCCCACTGGCTCTAATACTGAATTTTCTTGTTTATATATTTATAAATAGGGATAATTATAAATGCTTTAAAACATATGATTATTTAATGCGGCCCTCCACAAAATGGCACTGGCATATCCTGAGATCCACATTAATTCTTTTTTCAAACACTTTGGGTCAGAAAAACAGATCACATAATGATTCATCTTAAGCATAAATTAAAAATCAAGATCCATTCTTTTTTAAATTTATAAATGTATTATTTTAGTCCTTAAAAATCTTCACAGAATAGAGATAATAGCTAAAAATTGACAAAGCCATATTTAACTCCCATATTATAGCTAAGCTGTTCCTCCTGGCATTTAATTATGCTAAGACTCAAAGAAATAGATGGTCTTGAAAGCCAGCACACTTGAGCTGTGAGACTTGGAGATTCTTGTTGGCAGACTATTCATTGATAGTACTGCCTTCATACATGCACTTGGCTTGTAAAATGAATAAAAAAACCTGGCAAACACCAACATTTAGATGCTTGTGCCATCAAAAATTATACAAAATATATGTATATACTCACATACATTTGTATATATATGTGTTTATGTATATTATAGAGAGAAACTAAAATCATATTTTGAAGACTTTCAAGGTAATTCACCGTTTAGTATAACTGCAATGCCAAATGTTTTGTATTAATCCATGATATGACCCATCAGCCCTCCTCAATGAAACCACATCATAAAGAACCTTTTAGTGGCAGGACAGGGTAGGGTGAGGATAAGAAAAATATGGGAGAAGTAGTTCAACTATCTCTATAAATTAAAAACAAAGTAGAGATTTGTAGGACTAGCTGCAGATGAATATCCCTTTAGAGTACAGTATGTTCCCATTTTATTGGATTCCTCAGAAACTTATTGTCCGTTCAACAAAGCTTTTGTGGGTTAATAATACTGTTACAGGACTTTTCACAAATCATTCCTTTTTATTTTTTAATGGAGACTTTATATTCCCCAGTAAAATAAGAATGGAATCTTTCATAGACAAAACTCCTTCCCATACCATCCACCTATCCAACTGTGGTAGACTGAGCAATGGCACCCCAAAGATGTCCATGTCCTAATCCCTGGAACCTGTGATGCTACCTTATGTGACAAAAAAGATTCTGCAGATGTGATTAAGAAGTGTTAAGGGTCTTGAAAAGGAGAGGTTATCGAAGATTTTCTAGGTGGGCCTAATATAACTACAAGGGTTTGTGTAAGACGGACACAGGAGGGTCAGAATCAGAGATGATACTGTGACTTTGGAAGCACGGGGAGAGAAGGAGATGTGATGGTGGAGGCAGCTGTCAGTCAAAGAGAGGGATTGGAAGATGCTACGCTGCTGGCTGGAAGGTGGAGGAAGGGGTCACAGACCAAGGAATGTAGGCAGCCAATTGCTGGAAAAAGCAAGGAAGTGAATGTTCCTCTAGAACTTCCAGAAGGAACACAGGCCCATCAACATCTTGATTTTAGCCCATTAAAACCGATTTGGAGGCGGCGGGCGCCTGTGGTCCCAGCCACTCCGGAGGCTGAGGCGGGGGAACGGCGTGAACCCGGGGGGCGGAGCTTGCAGTGAGCCGAGATTGCGCCACTGCACTCCAGCCTGGGAGACACAGCAAGACTCCGCCTCAAAAAACAAAAAACAAAAAAAAACCCCATTTTGAAGTTCTGACCTCCAGAGCTGTCTGTAAGATAATACATTAGTATTGTTTTAAGGGCCAAATTTGTGATAATTTGTTGCAGCAACCATAGGAAACTAATAAATCAACTAAATGAAGGCTCAGACCATTTCTGTTTTGAAAACAAATGAATGATATTAGCTAGAGAATCCCAAGCTTCAGAGCACTAGTTGTTGCCAAAGTACTATTATGGTTTCTGTTACACTTTTGCTTTCTTGAATTTAGATACCTTTAAAGCGGTCTCATGTTTGCCTGCCTTCTCACAGTCAGTTTGTGATCACCAAAATATAGGCACACTGTAGCACAGGGTTCAAATCCATTCTTAGATTCCGTTTTCATTTATGGTTTGCTTTAGAATTCTTAGCTGAAATTCACAGAGTTAAACTAAAATATTTTTAAAATGTGAATTTCTAATATTATTAAAATTTTGGAGTCATCTCTTTTGTGTAACATTTCACGGAAATGGGGGAACCACATTCATTCCCTTCCCTCCCTCTTCCCCTCCCCTCCCCTTCCCCCTTCCCTTCCCCCTCCCCTTCCCCCTCCCCTTCCCCCTCCCCTTCCCCCTCCCCTTCCCCCTCCCCCTCCCCTTCCCCCTCCCCCTCCCCCTCCCCTTTCCCTCCTTATCTCCCTCCCTCCCTCCCTCCTTCCTTCCCTCCCTCCCTCCTTCTTTCCTTCCTTCCTTCCTTCCTTTTGTTTCTTTCTTTTCCCAAGATGGTGAGGTTGATATATCAGCTCCAAAGAGTGCCCGTGGCGACTAAGTAGGTACTTTAACTTTTTGGCGGCCCATGTGAGGATGTGGCTCTCTTCCTGTTTGGAGAATGCCCCCATGTGATGAGTCCTATAACATCCTAAGCATTGTGCTAGCCTTGGTTTGAGAAACCTCCTTCTAGTCCAGAGGATATTAGCCCATGTAAAACTGTGCTCATTCTATCGACCAGCTCATCCTCAAGAACTATATTGAAGAGCACACTTGTAAGAGTCAGAAGAAGGGGAGTCCAGCGAACTATAAATGGGTAAGAAGGGCTTTTGACTGAAGAATATTCTTGAACTCTGCCTTGAAAGATAGTATTTGCGTAAAGGAGAGAAAATTGCATTCTAGATGAGGAGATTAATTTAACAAATACGTAAAATAGTCTGAAAAAGCATGATCAGTGAAGAAAATTGGACTTGTCTCAACTCTGTACAATCACAACTAATAACACTTTTACCTCAAATGTTTTTACTAGGGTTGCGCACAGTTTCTGCCACAGAATTGCCCTGAGCTCTGTTTTGTCTGTTTCAACATTCTTTTCCAAACCTCTGTACCCTCACATAGCCTATGCTGTCTGCCTAGAATACTATTCTCTTCCATGATTACTCTACCCCTTTTGGCCCAGAAAGTTTCTACACATATTTTAATCCTCAAATATCACTGTCCTAAGTTTCCTAGGCAGACTTAGGCTCTTGGAATCTCAAGATAATTTACTTATTACATCTGCAGTATGTTCACATCACTATTTTTTGTTTGTTTGTTTGTTTTCTGGAATATTTAAAAGCAAATTTCAGATATCACATTATTTTAACTTTAGATACATCAGTATGAATGTTAAACAGATAAGGACTTTAAAAAGTAGAACAACAATACCATTATCACACAAAATTAACAATAACTCTGATATCTTCTAATATCCAGTAGATATTCAATCTCTTAAAAATGGATTTGGCTGACTGCATCCTCATGGTTCCATTCTGAAGCTTCCAGGGCACAATAAGTGTTTACATTTTACTAAGGGAGTACCTTGATGTTGTCATTTAATCTCATTGCAGAAGCTCTGAAAGGTTATTTGAGACAACACAGCAAGGACAGAATTTAAAATGGAAAACAAAATGGAGAATAAAATTTCAATCTTGAGCACGGGATGACCTTGGATTGATCAAATATGTGTTCTGAGCCAGTTCATAGCTTTCACGGGGCAATACCCATCTTGCCCATCAGCAGTTCCTGAAGGACACCCACAGAACAGTTCTTGGTGTACAGTCTGCGGAGGGTAGGAGCAGGACTCTCCTAAGGAGTCTGTCTCCTGAGGGATGTAGACCATAGGGGTAATGGTTAAACCAAGTGAGTTTTTTAAAAAGAAAAAAAAAAAACTAAAACAAAACTAACAAGCTGGAATATATTTTCCATTCTCAGTGTTTCTTTTTTTTTGTTTTCTGGAAACTGATTATCACTCTGTCGCCCAGGCTGGAGTGCAGTGGCATGATCATATCTCACTGTATAGTCTCTAACTCATGGACTCAAGAGATCCTCCCACCTCAGCCCCTTAAGTTGCTAAGACTACAGGTATGCACCACTGCACCCAGATAATTTTTAACTTTTTTGTAGAGACAGGTTCTCGCTGTTTTCTGGGCTGGTCTCAAACTCCTGCCTCAGCCTCCCAAGATGCTGGGATTACAGGTGTGAAACCCTGCACCTGATCTCCAATGTTTCTTTCTATGGTGAGTGACTTCAATTAGTGGAACAATCTAGGCTTCAATCCCTTCCTTACCCTGCCCCAGGGAAAATGGAGTGACTTGCCTGATATCTAAAGTTTGGAAAAATAACTGTGAATGCTTAAATCATCTGTTGTGTTCTTGGAGCTAGCTTCCCACAGGGAGTGGGAGGTCTTTGTTTCCCCAGGATCTAAGAATAACCTGGGAAAATCTCCAACCCAGGAGAACATTGTCTGTGACTGCCTGGGTAAGTCTGTCTAATTCTGGGGTTTTCTTTGCAGGCCCTTTTGACTCTCGTACTATGGACCCTAATATAGCCTTTATCAGAAATAAAGATGACATTTTGGTCTCCAGATGCTTTATTCCTAGTCTGATCATTCAGTTTTTTTTTTTTTTTCAGAACTCAGGGATGAAGGCTACTTATTTTGGGGGTCCCCTAAAAAATATAAAAATCATAAAATGTTATTTTAATGTGACACTATATTCTATTTGCTAATATTTTATATAGGATTTTATACTGATATTTTAAGTAAGATATATTTGTGGCTTTCTTTTAGGATTTTTGTTACCAATATAATACTAGCTTCATATAAATAATTTAGAAGTTTCCCTTCTTTTATAATCTATGCTTTGGAAAAGTTTAAATAATATTCTGATTATTGGCAATTTATATTTTCTTAAAAATCACCCTTTTAATTCAGGTTCTCAAATTTATTTGCTTAGAGTTGAACAAAATAGTTGTTTTTGAATCTTTCAATTTTTAAATATATTTGTGGTTATTCCATTAGCATTTCCAACTTTTGTGCTTTTGTGATGTCGCCTATTTCCCTACTTGATAAGATTAAGTAATAGTTTATGTTTGTGTATATTTTTATTTAAAAAATTTTTTTAAAATTTTTTTGAGACAAAGTCTCACTCTGTCACCAGGCTGGAGTACAGTGACGTGATCTCAACTCACTGCAACCTGCGCCTCCCGGGTTCAAGCGATTCTCCTGCCTCAGCCTCCCGAATAGCTGGAATTACAGGCACGTACCACCACACCCAGCTAAGTTTTGTATTTTTAGTAGGGACAGGGTTTCACCACGTTGGCCAGGTTGGTCTTGATCTCTTGACCTCATGATCCGCCCACTTCAGTCTCCCAAAGTGCTGGGATTACAGGCATGTGCCCGGCCATGTTTGTATATTTTTAAGATTTTCAGTAGAAACAGTTTTTGAATTTACATATTTGTTCTATAAGCTTCTCTTATTAAATTTAATACTGATTTTTAAAAAAATGTATGTTTCTTCTCTTCACCTTTCCTTGGGATTCTTTTTTTCTAACCTGAGTCCTATTTGTAAATATAAATCTTCCAGCGGTGAATGTTCCTTTGAGCTTTGCTTTGAGTAGATCCCATTTCCTGATGTACTGACAAGTAAACAGTCATTTGATAAGCAAGCACATTTGTTCAGTTGAGTGATCATTGTCCTGTGGAGATAATTGGGTGATCTGCCCTTTGGATAAATATGTTTTCAGGAAGTCTCTTAAACAATAAAATTACTCTTAATAATTTTCTGCCCTTCCCAGTGAGACATTGTATTTTGTGCACCATTGACATCAAACTTGGCGTTGTAGCTTGTTATAGACAATGGAATGTTAACAGATGGTCCATTGTGGGATTCTGCCATTGTGGAATTCTGCCATTCCTCTTTTCTCTCTGCCTCAAGATCAGCATGTCCCAGATTGGGGTGTTCCTTTGTCTTGGGTCCCAGAATGAAGAAGATGTGGAATAGAGGTGCAGCCAATCTGGGAAGGACATGCAATGGGAGCAAGAAATAAATCTTCATTGTTGTAAATTGTTGAGATTTCGGGATTATTTTTTATTGTAGCAAAAAGTAGCACAAGTGCCTAATACAGGACATGTCAAATATATAGATATGTATCCTTTGTATGTACCTTTAAATATTGTATTATATATAACATACAACATATAATATATAATGTACATCTAAATATGATATAGTAACATCTTTTGAACCAATAATGTATAAGTACATTTTATGCAACTTGAAACACAATTTTTGTTATTTAAATTATTATTATAAAGATTTATAGCTGTGCCTTTGCTATATGCAAAATTTGCTATTTGTTATACGACAAATTTTGCAGACAGTCATGATTCATTTGATGCCAAGTCTTTGGGCAAAAAAATTTCCCTATTACAGCTCCGTTTCTTTGAGGAAATCCCATTGCTGTATACCCATCAGCTTTGGGACATAGTTCTAGAAATTCATTAATATAAAAAAAAGACTTTTTTTCTTGTCATTTTCAAATTCTGATTTTATCAGTCCTTAAAACAGGTAAAAATAACTGATAAGGAGAATGACATCATATATCTTTATAAATGTCTCTCAGAAAATAAATATTTTGAGCACGTGGAGAAAAGGAAAGGCTTATATACTGTTCTTGGGAATGAAAATTAGTACAGCCTGTATGGAAAGTAGTATGGAGAGTTCTCAAAGAACTAAAAATAGAACTACCATTCAACCCAGCAATCTCACTACTGGGCATCTACCCAAAAGAAAACAAGTCAATATATCAAAAAGATAGCTGCCCTCATATATTTATTGAAACACTATGCAAAATAGCAAAGATACGGAATGAACCTGTGTCCATCAACAGATGAATGGATAAAGAGAATGTGGTATATATACACAATGGAATACTATGCAGCCATAAAAATGAAATCATGTCATTTGCAGCAACATTGATGAAATTGGATTTCATTAGCATAAGTGAAACAAGACAGACATAGAAAGACAAATACTGCATATTCTCACTCATAATTGGGTGCTAAAAATTTGTTCACATTGTTGTAAAGAGTGGAATGATAGATAATGGAGACTTGGAAGAGTCTGGAGGTGAGAAGGGGGAGGATGATGAAGAGTTGGTTAATGGATATAATGTATGTTATTTCGGTGATGGATACCCTAAAAGTGCTGACTTGACCACTACACAATCTATGCACATAACAAACTTGCACATATACCCCATATATTTGTACAAATAAAAAGGAAAAGAAAAATGAGTGTTGTTTCAGCGTCACTGATCATTAGAGAAATGCAAATCAAAACTACCACGATTTAGTTCTACCTGAGCTATTGCTGTTTTATTTTAAAAACTACAATGAGATAGCATCTCAACCCAGTTAAAATGAATCTTATCCAAAAGATAGGCAATAACAAATGCTGGTGAGGATGTGGAGAAAAGGAAACCCTCATACAATCTTGGTGGGAATGTAAATAAAATAGTGCAAACACTACAGAGAATAGTTTGGACGTTCCTCAAAAAACTAAAAGTAGAACTACCTTATAATCCAGCAATCCCAATGCTAGGTATATACCCAAAAGGAAGGAAATCAGTATATTGAAGAGATCTCTGACTCCCATGTTTATTTCTGCACTATTCACAATAGCCAATATTTGGAAGCAACCTAAGTGTCCATCTGCAGACAACTGAACAAAGGAAATGTGGTACCATACACACAATGGGATACTATTCAGCCATACAAAGAATGAGATCCTGTCATTTGCAACATTATGGATGGAACTGGAGGTCATTATGTTAAGTGAAATAAGCCAGGCACAGGAAAACAAACTTTGCGTGTTCTCACTTATTTGTGGGAGCTAAAAATTAAAACAGTTGAACTTATGGAGATAGAGAGTAAAAGGATGGTTACCAGAGTCTGAGAAAGGTAGTAGGTGGTGGATGAGGGAGGGAGGAAGAAGGTTGGTAAATGAGCACAAAATATAAATAGATAGAATAAATAAGATCTAGGATTTGATAGCACAACAGGGTGTCTACAGTCAACAATAATGTATTGTACACTTAAAAATAACCAGAAGAGTATAATTGGATTGCTTATAACAAAGAAATAATGAATGCTTATGATGATGGACCCCACTTACCATGACATGATTACTACACATTATATGCCTGTATCAAAATATCTCATGTACCCCATAAATATATACACCTACTATATGCCCATGAAAGTCAAAGATAAATGATTTTTTTAAATAAAATAACTTTTAAAAATAAAAATTTCTACCAAGCTTTTTTAAAGTGTTTCTTACAGAGGAGAAAGATCGTTTCCAAGAACTAATAGATATACAAACAGTATGAGATATGAAGATAATTTTTATAATTCTTCTAAGTAGGGGAAAAAATCTAACTTTTTCTTGAAAACGTAGTTAAGAAGTTAAAGATTCCAAAGTGAGCCTTATATTTTTTACATCGAAGATTGAGTTGTGCCTTTGATTTAACAAGTACTCATGTGATGTTATACTTGTTTTCACATCTCATAGATAGATCTAAGCAAAAATATATCAAATGCCAAAACTATCTGAAAAGAGTGTTTTTTTTTAATGCCCCCCTGCGTTACATTGCCATTATTTCACGTGGGGAAACTGGCATAAGTGAAAATTTGGTGAATGCTCTAATTTTATTCTTTTAAACCCCAATTCTCTATCTGTTAGTACAAATCTGAGATTTGTTTCTAATCTCTGAGGAATCAAATATGCCTAGAAAAAAATATAGGGGAACTGCAACTATGGATCATATGATTTGCATTATTAGTACTTTCTGTGTAATAATTCTACACATTGTTACCATTAGCAACACGATTTCAATCATGAATATCACCAAGTTCAGAAGAAATAATTTCTGAATTGTCTCTATTAGACCATGATCAAGAGGAAAAAATGCAAGACTGAGTTTTCCTTTAGTGTTGTATCTGACATTTTTAAATAGACTCATTTTCTGTGGTTTCATGTGACCTATTACATTTGTCACTGGATGGCAAGAAGGCCTGTCTCTCATTAGCACTTCCGGTAGTACTTGAGAAAAATATCCCGCAAGAAAAAAGATTCCATTTCCTTCCCCCCTGGATTTGGAGGCACTTGATTTTTTGAGAATTTCAGTGAATATCATCTCTAATTTTAGTTGAATACTCCTCACCATATGATGTTACAAGATATAACTAACATACTACCCGCCTAGAAATATGTTTCTCTTTGATCCTAAAAATGGCTTTTGATTTAAAAATTGGCTCTCCATTATGTTAACGGTGAGATAGGATTTAAGTGTGTGTGGGCGGGCAGGGGTAGAAGACTGATCTATAAAAGACAGAACAAAAGAATAGATCAGAGTTAAATTGTTACTTTTTAAAATCCATCTCTTAATCTTTTCCCTTTTTTCTGTTTATTCAAGCCCCAATGTTTACTGTTAGACCTCTGCAGATTTGGAGTGTGTCTAAACTGGGTTTGTTTGGTGTGCGTGTGTGTGTGTATGTGTGTGTGTGTGTGTTCTCTTTGCAAGGGAGTCCCAGTTATTTGCCTTGCTCCTCTTTCCTTTTTCTGTCACCACCAGAGATGTTCTTAGCATCTATTAGTGACTCTCTATTGGGGTGACCCATTTGGGATGAGGCAGAATTCTCCTTGCATCTCTCACTGATAGACGCATCCTAGAGTAGGTGGTGAAAGATCTTTTAGTTGTAAAAATCAGACGGTGTCAGTCTCATGCTGAAAATTGCTAGTCAGCTCCCTCTTATCCGCAAGATGAAACCCATGCTTCTCTCTCCAGCTTATGAGGTCTTCATGATCTTGTCTTAATTCCCCTTCTGATCTTATCTCCCTCCTCCAAGAGTCTAAACTACCTAGAGTTTCCTTACAAGCTACATTCTGACCTCTCTGTCTTTACCACACTCTATTTGTGTGGCCAGGGATGTTCTTTGCTAACTGAGGAGGCTAATTAGTTCTTTTTGTTTTAACTCAAATGCTCCATTTTCAGTGAGTCCTTTTCTGCCTGTCCCAGGCACCCTGCCCTGTTCTCGCTGTACTTTGTATAGACTTGCTGAGGGAGAGATGGCAAATTGACAGACAATCCAACATCCATTCTCCCCTCTTTCTCCACTAAAAGATTCCTGATACTATCTGGAGTGCCAGTGTGCCCAATTTCCAACCTTCTTCTGTCTAAGCATCCAAGTTCTGGCCAAGAAAATGCAAATAGATGCTGAACGGGACTTCCCAGAAATCTCAAAAGGAGGACAGATATCTGGCTCTGGCTCTTTTTGTCTTTATGCCTCCCCCTTTTTCACACTGCCTGGAATGTGGATGTGTTGGCTGGAGCTCCACCATCCATACTGGACCATGGGGCTTCCTTAAGAATGAACACTATGCATTACAGATGGTGGGGCAGAAAGAATAATCCCAAGACTGACACTATGAGGCTGCCATACCAGCCTTGGACTATGTACCTCTGAGCTTCTTTTACTTGAGTGATAGAGGTTTATTAATTTTGTTTATCCTACCCTTATTTTGGTTTTCTCTTACATGTACCCACTCTAATCTTGGCTAATACATCTGAATTACAGCAATTACCCAAGTGTATAATGTTTGTCCATTTTTGTTTTTTGAGAGAGGGTCTGGCTCTGCTGCCCAAGCTGGAGTGCAGTGGCAGGATCTTGGCTCACTGCAACTTCTACCCCCTGGGCT